>NW_021159993.1:0-176674 GCF_000001405.40 Homo sapiens
ACTCATGCTACAGAAACCGATCGAGCTCCACTGGGCAGGGCGCTTGGGATGTGTCAGTGAGTGAGGCAGCTGCATCTGCCTACCCATCGTGTTTGCACTGGGAGGTGGCGTGGGGGAGGGAGATGGGTGATAAACTACAAAGACAGCAGGCGACTGTCTGCTAGACAGACAGATGGACACTGGGGGACAGCAACAAACAGAGCCGGAGAAGGGGATGGAAAGGGCTGGGGCAGGAAGGGAGGCTGGGTGCAGCTTCAGACAGTGGCCCAGAGCTCATGGAAGGGGGCGTCATGGAGCGGGGGCCTTGTGGAGTGGGGGGCCTTGCAGGGGGACCTCATGGAGAGGGGAGCCTCAGGTGGGGGGCGTCATGGAAAGGAGGGCTTCGTGGTGGGGGGTCTGGAAGGGGACCTTGTAGGTGGCTTCATGGAGAGGGAGATCTCATGGAGAAGGGGGCCCTCATGGGAGGGCTCAAGTAGGGGGGCCTTGCATGGGGGCCTCGTGGAGGAGAGGCAGCATGAGGGGGTGAGGAGTGAGCCTTAGAGAACCTGCCGGAAGGGCATTCCAAGCAGAGCGAGCAGGTGGCACAGAGGCCTATGGGGTGCACCAGGGCTGGGCTGGGGCAGTGTGAGTGGGGGAGGGGCTGGGAGCTGGAGCCAGGGCTGCAGGCCCAGCTCATGGTACCTGGGTGACCACTGCCAAGGCCATGGGCTTTAACCCCGAGTGGGAGGAGGGGCCTGTGCAGCATTCAGAGCCGAGGAGGGGCATGACCCAATGACACCGATCCTTTAAGAGGACAAGGTGCAGCATGCTCACTCGCTGGGGCTGAGCAGGTCAAGCCGTATTTCAGATGTCCCCCAAAGACAGATCTAAGTTGTAACCCCGGTACCTGTGAAGGGGACCCTATTTGGAAATAGGGTGGAGGCGGCCTTGCTGGCGGCCTGGCTGGGGCATGAGGGGCATGGGGGACGATGTTCAGGTTCAGGGCCAGATGAAGCAAGGGAAGTCTGGATACACCCCCCAGCCAGACACAGGCCTTGGGGCAGGTCTCAGCAGGATGACGGCAGCTCAGGTGTGGCCGAGCTGTTGAGTTTGCTCTGCGGGTGAGACGTCTACTGGAGAGGTGGAGGGTGGTAGGTAGAGACGCAGGAGGCTTGCAGGGAATGAGGCCTGGCCTGGAGATACAGCGGTATAAATGTTGCACAAGTCAACACACGTGGTGATGTAGGTGATGTGTCGAGGTCCTGCCCATTTCTAAAAGGAAGGTGTTGAGCAAGAACCAGCTCTCAAGTTGAGTCTGTGACTGCAGCAGCATGAGAAGGAGCAGGGGTGGGGGCCTTCGCAGGTTCCGGAGGTGACAGGGTCAGGGGATGCTGCCACCAAGCTCTGTGATCAGAGAGAGGCCGGGTAAGCCCCATCTGGCACCTTCACACATGGTCATCTCCTCACCTGGCGCCCCTTCCCTGGGGTCGGCCTCTAACCTCAGACCAAGAAGAGCTGTGCTTCTTCCCAAAAGGCCTTTTCAAAAACCACAGAGTTTTTGCATGGTGGATGTAGGAACTGATGCATTTTTCACCCTCGCCCTGGTTGCTAGAAGGCTCGGGACAAACCCAGGGTCCCTTCATGTGAGTGGGAAGTTTTCGGGGACTATTTGGTAAACTGGGTCATATCCGAGCCAGGACAGGTCCCCTGACCTTATGTGATCTTTGCTCAGACTTCCTTGTTCATTAAAATCACATATTCACTGTTTGGGTTCTACCACCCACCTATACTAGTAAGTTCATTTATGTCTCCAAGTATTGGACTTAATTGCTATCTAACAGTGGAGTGTTCGCCTGGCCAGCCCTTGTAAGTCATCTGCCTTAGACTTGTGCCCACAGTGGGTGGCCAGTTGCTGGAGAGAACTCCCAGGCTGCACCAGGCATGTTCACCTGGAGCCCGGGGAGAAGGTTCCTGTGGGACCCTCAAAGCGCCCTCAGTGTGTGGGGAGGGAGGGAACCTGGCGGCATCTCTTGACCATCTACCACGAACATCACATACACATTCTCCCTTAAACTTCAGCCAAGCCTGAGAAGTGGGTCTTTTTTTTTTTTTTCTGAAACGGAGTCTCACTCTGTCACCCAGGCTGGAGTGCAGTGGTGCAATCTCGGCTCACTGCAACCTCCGCCTCCTGGGTTCAAGCCATTCTCCCGCCTTAGCCTCCTGAGTAGCTGGGATTACAGGCACGTGCCACCATGCCTGGCTAATTCTTGTATTTTTAGTAAAGATGGGGTCTCACCATGTTGGCCAAGCTGGTCACAAACTCCTGACCTCAAATGGTCCACCCTTCTTGGCCTCCCAAAGTGCTAGGATTATAGGTGTGAGCCACCATGCCCAGCCAGAAGTGGACCTTTTGTCCCCATTTTACAGATGAGGACACTGGGGCTTGGGCACAACAAGAAACCTGCCCAGGGTCATGCCTAGTGCTGACCTGTGAGCCCAAGTCCGCCCAGGTCGAGGTCCACACTCTTGGCTGTGAGCATATGAATAGCTCACCTGGGAGACAGGTGTGTGTGTCCGAGCAGCACTCCACCAGGAGGCAGCATGGCTGGGCAAGACCCCTGAAGCCCTCCAGGGAGGAAGGCGTGGCCCCAGAGAAATGGCCCCTAAAGTGGTCCACGTTGGAATCCAGGAATCTGTGACTGTGTTAGGCTTTGTGGCCCCAGGACATCCAGACTTCAAGTCAGTTGACTTGAGATGGAGAGATGATCCTGGATCATGACACAGGTCCTGCACTGGGCGGGAGGGAGGCAGAAGCAGGGCCAGAGTGACTCAGTGCAGGAAGACCTCCACCCACTGTGGTTGGCTTTACAGTGGGAGCTCAGGGCCACGAGCCAATGAATGTGGGCACCTCTAGGAGGTGGAAAAGGCAAGGACTGGCTTCTCCCCTGGAGCCTTCAGAAGGAACACAGCCTCACTGACACCTTGACATTATCCCAGTGAGACCCGTGCTGGACTACGAGCTCCAGGACCATGAGATAATTACTGAGCACTGACCTGCCAAGTCCATGGTGTTTATTATGGCAGCCACAGGAGACGAACACCACAAAGGGTTAAACACTGTTTCCCAGAAGGCTGGGGGAGGCTGAGCTGCCACAAAGGATATGGAGTGTCATGGATGGAGGATGAAACGGGCCCTCTCTCCCTCCTCTTGGTCAGCCTTGGCCGGAATGGGAGACCAAGGAGTTAGGCCAGGCAAGTGGAGGAAAACCTCAGAATCCAGGCAAAAGCTGAAGAAACTGAGGCCATTGTGTGCAGGGGGCAGGGGCACAGATAGACCTTGTCACCTTCTCCACGTCTCAGAAGGGTTGTCACTGGCAGCGGAGCCCAAGAAAGGCTCGGCCTCTGTACTGGAGGAGGGGTCTCAGGGGTGGTGCACAATGCAGGGCGAACATTCATGGTAGTGAGCTCCCCAGCACTGGAGACGTACAAGCCAGGGTCAGTGTGCCACCATCAAGCCAGAAGGACAGCTGGCCCGGAGACGCTGATAGAGTTCTCACGAGATCTGTTTGGTTGAAAGCGTGTAGCACCTCCCACTTTGCTCTCTTCCTATCGCTCCAGCCACATAAGATGTGCCAGCTTCCCCTTCATCTTCTGCCATGACTGTAAGTTTCCTGAGGCCTCCCCAGTCATGCTTCCTGTACAGACTGCAGAACCATGAGCCACTTAAACCTCTTTTCCTTATAAATCACCCAGTCTCAGATAGTTTTTTGTAGCAGTATGAGAACAGACTAATACACCAGGATTTCCCTTTCACTCCCTGACATCCACCCCCATCTTGAGGCCTGAAAATGCCCAAGGGGAGGCCACAGGGATCTGGGGTTGCCTGACTCTGGGGCAGCCTGTCCACAGGAGAAGGGCTCAGCCTCAGCGGGCAGCTGACATCTGGGCATTGCAGCCACTGGCCCCACAAGGACAGGGCATGGTCAGACCCTCCAGCTGCGAAGAGGAAGGGGATACTCTGTACTCTGCCTCTAGGACCCCATGGGTGCCCAGCACCTCAGTTTACCCCAGAGATCTCCCTTGAGTAGTTTTGGGCCTATAGAGCAGGGATCTCCCACCCCTGGGCCTGGACTGGTATCAGTCCATGGCCTGCTGGGAACCAGGTCTCACAGCAGGAGGTGAGTGGCAGGCAAGTGAGCATTCCCGCCTGAGCTCCACCTCCTGTCAGATCAGCAGCAGCATTAGAGTCTCATAGGAGATGAATCCCATTGCGAACTGTGCACACGAGGGATCTAGGTTTCATGCTCCTTATGATAATCTAATGCCTGATGATCTGAGGTGGAACAGTTTCATCCCAAAATCATCCCTCCACCCAACCTGGTCTGTGGAAAAATTGCTTTCCACAAAATTAATCTCTGGTGCCAAAAAGGTTGGGGACTGCTGCTATATGAGATGGATATGGGTTTACTGGGGACTGAAGTTTACATAATGGGGTGAGGGCTTTTAAGAAAAAGAATACAAGGCCGGGTGCAGTGGCTCACCCCTGTAATCCCAACACTTTGGGAGGCCAAGGCAGGTGGATCAGCTGAGGTCAGGAGTTCAAGACCACCTGGCTAACATGGTGAAACCCCGTTTCTACTAAAAATACAAAAAATTAGCCAGGTGTGGTGGCACGAGCCTGTGATCCCAGCTACTCAGGAGGCTGAGGCAGGAGAATCACTTGAACCTGGGAGGCGGAGGTTGCAGTGAGCCAAGATTGCGCCATTGCACTCCAGCTTGGGCAACAAGAGCGAAACTCCATCTTGGGAAAAAAAAATACAAAATTACAAAATTATAAATGCAAATTTAGTTATAAAAGTGAACATTTACTTAGAATGAGGAAAGAAATAACACATTTCAAGCTTAAAATAGCTTACAAATACAACAAATTTCAAAGCTCCAGAAAAATTACATCAATTTTACTAAGGAACATTCTTGTGACTATTTACTTTATACCCACAGGTTTTGGCCACATGCTTGCTCCATCTCTCCATAAGATCCTAATTTGACAGTATTTTCCATTGAGACAATCTCTCGTGGTTGGTCAAAGCTTGTTTTCAAGTGTTGACATTTGAAAGAAGTTTCCCTTTTACTATTCGTTATTTGTCATATTATATAAATTATGAAACAGTTGTCAAATTTGGGGAAACCTCATCAAATTGCTTCTCTACTTGAGATGTGCAATATCAAGGCACTTCCAGGGCTCTTGGATATAACTCATGTTGGACGCTCTTTGAATTGATGACATACCTCAACCAGTTGGTCATCAATGTCCTTGCTGTGTTGAATATTGTGAGCTTTCTACTCTCTTCAGTGATGTCAAATGTTTTGTGTTAAATCAGCAGGAAATTTAGATATTTTCATAGAGTATTCATGTGACCCATTTATTAATGGATTATCTGATGATCCAAGAGTTTATTTATTACTTTGATTTAACATTTATCTCTTTTCCTTATTGCTCGCCTGGGTATGATCTGCTACGTGACTGCTGCATCTGCCCAGCCTGTTGTGAAGGCGGCCAACAGGGAGCACACTGCATCTCATTTCTGTACATCCTTCCTTGGCCCCTTCCCTTTTTCCTCCATCCTCATCACCCTGGGTTTGCACCTCCCAAATAACGTGTTAGTTCCTTGATTTGTGCTTCTTTCTGCGGGCCTGGGGCTGGGTCCAATGGGATGCCTTTCCCCTGTTCTTGGTTTTCAAGAAGGAGAATGTATCTGTGATGTATTCCTGCTCTTCACTGCTCCAGGAAGGTGGAGTGACTCCCATGATAGGCAGATTTGGGAAAGATAACTGAGACGTCTTGGCCTAGCTGAGACCTTCCCCTTGAGAGAGGCTGACAGCAGAGGCCAGATGGAGAGGCCTGGCCTGGCCAGGCCAGGGCTGCCTGGAGCTGGGTAGGCACATCTTCCTTCTCATTCTCAGCCACATTCACTACCCTGGCCTCCACCACTCCGATGGTGATGTTGAGAGATTCCATCTGTTGGCTCCTATTTTATTTCAAAAGCGTTGAGCCCTGGGCCAGCTCCAGAGACCCCATTCTCCCCAGGGCCTAGTATGGAGCCCAGGGTCTGGAGCAGAAGAGGAGTCCTGGGACGAGGACTGTTGTTGTTGTAACTTGATGACAGTCAGGGAGAAGCTGTTTTGCATAGCAACCCCCAATGTGCATTCTACCATCCCAGGGCCTAGAACCCCCTACCAGGAATCTTCAGCAGGTCCCAGGAAGCAAGAGACCTCAAAGAACTGGCACACTTTTCATCCCCTTTGGCCACACCAATCTGGAACTTTCAGAGTTGCTGTCAGAACCAGAGGCACCCCCCACCAGAAATGCTGAAGGATCTCTTAGGGCAATTCCACATTGGGCAGTCATGAAAGGGTCTGTCCTGGCAGAGGGCCAGGCCAGTAGTCACTGACAGAGGGGTGTGCATTGAGAAGCAGCCCCTTGGAATGTGCCTCGGGTGTTACCAGGGCCCCAAATGCACGGTGCTGGCCTCCACGGGGCCCCACTCATCTGACCTAGGACTTCACCTATATATGGCCATGTACTTTATTTGGGGGTGATCCCAGAAAGCACATGATGGGGCTAGGGAAGGGAGACAGAGAGGGGAGGAGAGCCAGGAAAAGTGCATTGATGAGGGAGTGGCCTCCACGGACAACTGGAGCTCAGCCCTCCTGGGCACTGGAGGTCCTCACAGAGACAGTGCAGAGCCCTCCACAGAACTGTGCCTACACAGGGCCTTCCTTCACCTAGTCTTCTCCAACAGTGAGTGAGGGCTGTTCTTGCAGGAACAAACTCCCTAGCTTTTCTCGCCTGCCCTGCAAGTGGGCCAGGCTGACTTCCATGACCAGAGTAAGCTCACAGGCTCGAGCCTCAGGGGTGCAGGGGAACTGTTCAGCAACGGAAACTGAAGCCCTAGGTGGGCCAAGGGGCTGCGAGACACACAGACAGCCGGCATCGTCGGGAGGACAAGAGCGCTGGGTTACCCATGCCAGATTTCCCACTTTTGGGGGTGTCCGGGGTGAGGGGGCTGCTCTTTCTGAAGCTGGTTTTCCCCTGAAAGGGGCACAGCCTGTCCCATTCACTCATTTAGAACCTGATGGTTGGTGTGGGGAAGGGGATGCGGATTTTTCTCCTGTTGCCCCAAAGACAGTTCCCAAGATAGAGCGACTTCTGAGCAGAGCTCTTCCTCTGCTGCAAAACGTTATGGCTGTGCGATTCATAATTGGAGCAGTCATCTCTGACCAATGCGATGGGGCTGCTTCCAAGAGCTTAACCAACCAATTCGTCCAGGGGGAAGGAAATGAAAGCTTTCCTTAATGTGTGGCTATCTGGGAGCCGCGGATGGGCACTGCCTGTGTTATTAACGACAATCAGACTGTTATTAATTTATATTCCGCCTCTTAAAGGAAAACCTATGTGTGCAGAGACCATGAGGGAACACCTTGCTGCTCATTTGCTTTCCAAGTCTATCTGAATTATTCAGGCCTGCTAATGAATTTGTCTTGTCCAGGGCTCTTCCATATTGTCTAGACAGATTTCAGAGAGTTAATAGCAGAGTAAATCCTGCAGTCTGGCCGGCCAGACAAAAATAGTTGCATATAATTATGTCGTTTCCTAAAGAGGTGATTTCCTGGCTGAGACCTGGGGGGTGTGGTCAGGATGCGTAGACATTTGCATGGACGCGTGGACATTTGCATATTTCTCACTGGAGCTGAGACACTGGGCAGGGAAATTCCGACTGAAGTCATCTGAGTGGAATTTTGTTTTTTTTGAGATGGAGTTTTGCTCTTGTCACCCAGGCTGGGGTGCAGTGGCGCTATCTCGGCTCACTGCAACCTCCCCCTCCCGGGTTCAAGTAATTCTCTTGCCTCCATCTCCTGCATAGCTGGAACTACAGGCGCCTGCCACCATACCTGGCAAATTTTTTACATTTTTTGATAGAGATGGGGTTTCGCCCTGTTGGCCAGGCTGGTCTCAAACTCCTGACCTCAAGTGATCTGCCCGCCTCAGCCTCCCAAAGTTCTGGGAGGCATCCCTGAGGAGCACGGAGGAGGATGAGAGCCATCAGCTGTCCAGAAACACAGGATGAGAGCTGTCAAGCATCCAGAAACAACTGCAGCAGCCCGGGTTGAGGGTGCTTCCAGCTTGGAAAGATGTCTGCTTGTCCTCAGTTTCCCCATCACATCAAACCAACAGGCATTCATCGTGCAGGCACTGGGCTGAATTCTGGGGACGCAGAGGCTGTAAGGTGCAGGTGCCATCACTGCATTGTCACAGGAGGTTCTGCCCAGGGCTGCCTCGGTGTTGGGTGGTAGCTGCATCTCTGAGGCATCCGGAAGCTTGGAGGGGAGGTCAGGGTGCAGGAGGCAGGAAGGGCTATTCTCGGCCTCAGGAGCAGCGGGACCTGGAATAAGCCTGGGAGACGTGTCCAAAAGGCCCAGAAATCTGGGTGTTTCAGGCTGAACCGCGTCCCTCCAAAATTCGCATGTGGAAGTCCTAATTCTCAGGACCTCAGGATGTGATCACATTTGGAGAAAGGGTTTTTAGGGAGGAGATTAAGTCAAAATGGGGTCACAAGGGTGGGGTCTGATCCAACCTGCCTGGAGTCCTCATAAGAAGAGATTAGGACACAGGCATGCACAGGGAAGATCAAGGGAGGACACGGGGAGACTGTGGCATCTGCAAGCCGGGAGAGAGGCCTTGGAGGAACCAGCTCTGCCTGCTGGCGGCTGGACATCGGGCTTCCAGCCTCTGGACTGTGACAGTGCATTCTGTGGCGTAGGCCTCCCCATCTGCAGGACTGTGCCATGGCAGCCCCAGGAGATGCGTGCCGTGGGAATAGGAAGCCCAGCCCTGTGGCCCCGCCAGCATATTCCGCCTCCTCCGTCTCAGCCAGAGCCCTTCGGGCCCATCCAGACTGCAGTTCAAACCCAAGCGTGTCTCCACCTGAACCTATGCCCGCCCTCAGCCCAGATGAGTTGGGGGCTCCAGGCTGGCGAGACAGCTGAGCGTCTGCCTCCCTCTGCACAGTGCGGTGATTTCGCCCTGATGGTTAAGTGGAGCGCTTAGCTCCTAATTGCTGTAATGGTGCTCGGGGAGGGCCCTCGTGGTGGGCGGATCAGGTGTGAGCCCAGAGTAGGCACAGTGGTTGGAGTCAGTGGCCAGCTACCCCCTGCCCCCTACCCCACCTGCAGCAGATGAAATACAGCCTTGCCACAGGCCTGCAGGCAAGGCGGAGAGAGTGGGCTGGGCTGCCAGGCCAATTGTGGCCACCTGGCACCTCTACCCAGCAGCCGGGAGGCAGAGGGTCTCATTCATTCATTCACTCATCCACCCATTCATTCAGGGAAGACACAGGCTGGGGGCTACTGTGCGCCCCACACTGTACAGGGCACTTGGCACAGATTGACTCAGTTTATTTTTCTGATGGGCCTTGGGGGCATTCACTTCATGTCACAGCTGATGCAGATCGGGCCAAGGGAAGCTAAGTCACTTGTCCAAGATCTCCTGGCAAGAGGAGCTGGGACTCAAGCACCAGCAGCCTGGGTGGCTCCAGAGACTGTGCTCCCAGCAGGCAGCACAGCCTCAGCCAGGCAGGCAAGGCCCTGCAGACAGGCGGTGAGGGCCTGCAGCAGCCCGGCCTCTGTCCCGCAAGGCTGGAGCTCAGGGAGGTAGGAAGCGAGGAGGCGCCCAGAGGGAGGTAGGAAGCGAGGAGGTGCCCAGGAGCCATGCCCAGAACTCCCGCCTTCCAGCTCATGGCCCACCTCCTGCGTGTTCTTACCAGGGCCCGGGATCCACCGGCGTTCCCAGCCCCAGAGAGGAGCAGCTGTGGAGGGCTGGGCCCTGGGGCTGCACTGGGAGGCCTGGGCGCTGAGTCCCCAAGCAGATGGTCCAGCCTTGGGGCCTTTGGCCACGCTGCCTCCCCTGATGCCCTCCCTGACCACCGGCTGCAGCACCGCTCTGAAACCATGCACACAACGTACTGCTATGTATTTCTTTGCTTACTCATTGCTGTCTTTCTCCTTCCCAAAGCACGAAAGTTCTGCCAGAGCACAGCTGCTGCCTGTCTTGTTCTCTGGCATCATCCAGGCCAGGACAGCACCCAGACCAGGATGATGTCCAGCACAGCTACCACGGTGCAGACTCCCGTCCCATGTGAGTGGTGGGGACGCTCCTAGCTGGAGCACGTCCCACCCTATCCTGACGGACATGGGGTTGCTTCCTAAGGTGGGGAGCTAAAGGTGGTGTCATAGAGCAGAAACTGCGCACCGAGAGACACAGCCAGGCTGTCATCCCCAACATCTTCCCAGGGAGCCGGGCCCTCACCCTGAAGTCTGCTGAACAAAGCTTTTAGCCTCCCAATAGGTGTTTGCTGATCTCAAGCTCCACAGAGCAGTGCTTTCCTCTCCTGGTGAATCATAATTACTTTCCTAGCACTGTGAGGGCCCTTTGTACAGAAGTAAGTGAATAACATACGTGCTTTGAAATGTCTTGGACATACTCGATGCCAGGCCTTCCATTGGCGTTTCCCTCTGTGCTTGCTGTTAATGAAGCCGGTGAAGTGGCCTTCCAGTGTGGCCCTGGCGGGGCACCCAGTCTCGGTGAATTAGACGCAGCAGCAGGCGGATACCGTGCCAGCTTCCTGAGCAGTCTCCAAATCGGCATTCGCCAGTTTTACCTCCTGCTGCTGGATTTAGGAGTTTAATTGAGGTTTTCTTTTTTCCAGGTTTTCAGTTACCCCTCCTCATTGTCTCGAGCCTCTAAACAAAATTGAGAGCTAAACAAATTACAAAGTTTTATAAAAGCCCTTTTTGAACATTCCTAAGCATGAAAGGATGGAGGGAGAAAAGGAAGAAGCACAGGGAGAGATGTCTGCAGAAGGAAGAGGAGCCTGGGGCTTGCAGCACCACCTGGACAGGCCTGTGTGGGGAAGCCCAGGAGGACCCTGAGAAGGAACCCAGGGGAGCAGGGGTGCAGAACCGCACGTGTCACCCCCTCTAAAGAGGCCCCAAGAGTGCACCTGAGCTGAAATTAATGGGGCATGGGCAACACGGGTGGGACAGGGGCCGGCAGAGCCCGAGTGAGCAACTGGATGGGTCCTATGAGTGCAGGCTGGGCAGGGGGAGGGTGGAGTGGGCTGGGGCCTTGGGGACTTGCAGCTGTGGGCTAGGTTCTCCGGTCAAAGGAGCAGAGGGTGGTCCCACAGTGAGGGCTGAGCCTTAGGAAGAGCTGGCAGCAAGTGCAGATAGAGCTTCAGAAACAGGGCCACTGGCAGTGTCCTCTGGCCTCACCTCTCCCCAGCTCTACCACACCTTCCTTCCCAGCTGGGTACAGTGGTCCCCCTGCCCCCGCCCAGTCCCTGATGGCGCCGGAGTCCTTTGCAGGCCACAACTCTCGCTTTTGTCCACCCTCCTCCCAGGGGAAGGGAGCGAGCATGAGTCAGGCCTTCCGTGTGCTGTACCACCCAGTAGGCGCAGCCGGCTTCCACAGCTCGCAGAGCGCATGTCTCTTGCTGGAGCCACTGGATCCAAATCCAGGCCCTTGCCTCCGTGCCCGAGCTCTGACTCCCGTCTCACAGGCACTCGGTAAAGGCTGAATGAATCAACAGATGCACCAGCAGTGTGTGTTCATGAGAGTCGTTGTGAAAAGCCAGTCTTCTTTAATTAATGACTCGCCTATAATTGCCATTCTAGTGCGCTACGTGCCGCCGTCTGTGATGGGCTTTCCAGACCAATTTTGGCGTCAGCGGCCTAATGTGGGCATGCTGTGCCTGCGCACCCAGGGGCCCAAGTGCCCCATCCATCAGCCTGCCTCCTGCAGCCCCAGCCGCCCGGATCAATACCCTCTCCCACACCCAGGCTGGGGCTGCACCCTCAGTCTGCCCCTCATGGTGGGCCACCTCCCTGGCGCACGACACTCCTGGCTTGTTCCCAAGGTGTCAGCATTTCCTTTGTGCTAGACTAGGGGTCTCAGAAAGGGCCCGCCCCTCGAGCTGGTCAGGGGCCAGGCACGTGGCCCCTCTGCAATGTGGCCCCTCTGCAACCTGATCCCCGTGGACGTCCTGGGCCTGCCTTCCCTCAGCCCCTTCCCCTTTCCACTATTCACTCCACCTCCTGCTTGCTGCGCTGCCCCCAGCCCCCATGGCTCAACGCTCTGCTCTGTCCCTGGGGAATTCGTGCTTCCAGACTCAGCCCCTTTCATTGGAGGTGTCTCCCAGGGAGGCATCCCCCTGTCTCCAAGGTAAGCCCTGCCCTGCCAGCCCCGGAAGCACTCACCACTCCCCCAGATGCCTCTGCGGCTTCAGCCTGTCTGGGTCCCCAGTGCCTGGAACCAGGACTCAATGTTGAGGAATGATGACATCAGCCAGTGTGGGTGGGGGTTGGGGTGGCCCACGGTCAGATCCCACGGATTCATCCTCCAGCAGCACACAGCTTGGCAGGTGAAGGGAGGCCCAGCAGGCAGCTAACTGTGTTCTTGTCCCCAAAAGATAACTGTGTTTCCCCAGAAGAGATCTTCAACCCCCGAGACCCAAGAATGTGATCTTATTTGGAATGATAGCCTCTGCAAATGTCATCAGATTAAGATGAGGTCACACTGGATGGTGTCCTTAGAGGAAGAGAAGGAGATACACAGGAGACAAGTCCGAGTGAGGGCAGAGGCAAAGGCTGGAGTGGTGCCGCTGCCAGCCAAGGAGTGCCAAGGGTGGACGACTGCGTCCAGGTGGGTGACATAAAGGAGGAGCCCCCGCTGGAGCCTGCAGAGGGAGCACGGCACTGCTGACACGGTGATTTTGGACTTCAGACCTTCAGACGGTGAGAGAATCAATGTCTGTGCTTTAAGCCATGCAGTTGGTGGTCCTTTGCCATGGCAGCCCAAGCAAGCTAATCCCCCTACCAGTGCCCTGCCCTAGCCAGGCAGCCCTGCACCCCACACCAGGCCCCCTCCATCACGACCAGCATCACTATAACCCCCCCAGTGCCCCAACCTGACCAGGCAGTCCGGACCTCACATCAATCTCACTGCCTCACCACCAGCGTCACCATCCCCCTCCCAGTGACCCACCACAGCCAGGCAGCCCTGCACCCCACACCAGGCCCCCTCCATCATGACCAGCATCACTATACCCCCTCCCAGTGCCCTACCCCGACCAGGCAGCCCCAGACCCCACACCAATCTCACTCCCTCACCACCAGCATCACCATACCCCCTCCCAGTGACCCACCCCAGCCAGGCAGCCCCAGACCCTACACCAGTCCCCCTCCATCACCACCACTGTCACCCTGCTCTGGGCTCTGGCTACTGGCTGTGACATCCATCTCTTAACCCAGCAGTCCCCAACCTTTTTGGCACCAGGGACCATTTTCTGGAAGATAATTTTTCTATGGATGGTGGGGAGTTGGGGGGCACAGAGGATGGTTTTGGGATGATTCAAGCACATTCTATTTCTTGTGCACTTTATTATAATATAGAATGAAATAATTATACAACTCACCATAATATAGAATCAGTGGGAGGCCTGAGCTTGTTTTCCTGCTACTAGATAGATGGTCCCATCTGGGGTGATGGAAGGCAGAGACAGATCATCAGGCATTAGATTCTCATATGCTCAGCATAGATCCTTCACATGTGAAGGTCATAATAGGGTTCACATTCCTGAGAATCTAATGCTGCCACTGATCTGACAGGAGGTGGAGCTCAGGCGGTAATGCAAGCAATGGGGAGTGGCTGTAAATACAGAGGAAGCTTTGCTCACTTGCCTGCCACTCACCTCCTGCTGTGTGGCCCAGTCCTGGCCCATGGCCCCGGGGTTGGGGACCCCTGTCTTAACCACTGTCCTTGACTTCACACCTCTGCCATCCTTAAAACCAAAAGTATCTTCCATCCTCCAACTCCCTGGGTCATGAATGCACTGGGTCCCTCTCTGGCTCCATCTCCCCTCACATCTCTTCCTGTTCCTGCCATCTGGCTATGCTTCTTCTGGTATCCTCATCATGCTGGCCCCTCTGCCTGAAATGTCCTTCCCATTTTCAACTGCAAACTCCTACTCATCCTTCAAAACCCAACCCAGACCACCTCCTCTGAGTAGAGCTAACGAAGCAGGAGGACTGTCTTATCAGCTCTGTGAATGGGGTGTCATCTCATCATATAGTTTAATGTCCTAATGTCAAACCCAGCAAATTAGGACCAGTCCCTTTACCCCACTGAGTCTCACAGTCCTCTTAACAACTGTTTAATGAACAACTGGTTTGAACCACCTGCTGGAAGGTTTTGGATCTCTCTATACTAAACATCTTGATTTACTTCTCAGAGTCCTTAATCCCAGTAATGATTTTTTAAAAAATTTTAGCCCAGCTTTTGAGAGAAAGAAAAGACATGAAAGAGTACATGTTAACATCAGGGGCATAGTTAATGAGCAGAAACCTACTAGGAAGGATCCTAGAGTGGCCAGTCTGTCCAATCCAATTTCTCTAGTCTAAGATAGAAATCGCTGGTTTTGTTGCTGTGTAACTGATATAGTTTGGCTGTGTCCCCACCCAAATCTTATCTTGAATTGTAGCTCCCACAAATCCCATGTGTTGTAGGAGGGACCAAGTTGGAGGTAATTGAATTATGGAGGTGAGTCTTTCCCATGCTGGTCTCATCATAGTGAATAAGTCTCATGAGACCTGATGGTTTTATAAATGGGAGTTCTCCTACACAAGTTCTCTCTTGTCAGCAGCCAGGTAAGACGTGCCTTTCACCTTCTGTCATGATTGTGAGGCCTCCCCAGCCACATGGAACTGTGAGTCCATTAAACCTTTTTTACTTTATAAATTACCCAGTCTCGAGTATGTCTTTATCAGCAGCGTAAACATGGATTAATTCAGTAACTTTTTAGTTATTTAGTTAAGTTCCATTATTCTTCTTATAATGGCTCTGTGAGGTAGGGGCTATTCTCCTGACATTTTACAGATAAGGAAACTGGGGCTTCCAGAAGTAGTCTGCCCTGGCCTCAGGGCTGGGCAGCCTTGGCAGGGGTGCACAGTCAGGTAAGAAAGACACAGGTAAGAAAGGTAAATGAAGTGGAGGGGGTTAAGCGAAGTGTGGAGGCTGCAGGGGACCACATGGGGACACCTAGTCCAGACTTGGGAGTCAGGGGGCTTCTCTGGAGAGCAGCATTGAAGCCGTGACCTACAGGAGGAACGAGCAGGAGCCAGAGAGATGAGGGTGCAGAGCTCCCAGGTGTCAGGAGTGATGTGTGTGGTCCCAGCACAGGTCACGCCACTGTAAGACCTATGCGGCCAAGTCCAGGAGGGAGTGAGGTGGTGCCCCCTCCCTCGAGTGGAGTCTCAAGTAGAGATGAGAGAGGAAGGCACCATGAATGTCCTCGCACCCAGGTGCCTGGCACATGGTTGGTGCTCTGTAAGTTATCTTTCAGTCAAATTGAACTCGCCGGCGAGTGACCTAGCAATTGAAAAGTGAGCCTTAGATCGGATCAGAATCTTTGACCTCACTTCCGGGAACTGGGAATCACGCAGCAAGGCCAGACCACGCGTGAAGGGTGTGGGGGAGGCACTCCCAGGGCACTGACCCCCTGTCATGCTCACTGCACTCCACCAGGCGGCGGGCACTGGGGCCCTGGACCAGCCTCCAGCTGAACCCCATGCCCAGCCTTCCGGGGACACAGCCTGCACCTGCTCACCAGCAACATGGCTCCCCAGGTTCCAGGCCTACCTTGGCACTAAAGTTCCCCACCTCCACGGTGAGGTTGTCTCTCCTTCTGGTCCTCAGTTTCCCTGGCTGTCAAATGAAGAGGATTCCCTAAGATGGTCCCCCAGTGCCATCCAGCTCCCACAGGCCCTGATCTTCTGTAGGCCCCTTTTGCTCTTTCAGGACTTCTCTATGTGTCCTTTATTGAGAGCTTTGCTACTAGGCCGTTTGTATTTTCTGAAGCTGTTCTCTCCCCTGAGCAAATGTGCTTCCCTCCTGTGCCATCTCTCCCCTGCCTCCAACTCACGGTATTGATATTCAAACAAAAATAGCTCCTATCCCTCTGCCCACATCACCAGATGCACAGAAATGCAGAGTTACTTCCCGAGGCAATTAATCCCATTAACAAGCAATAGTTCACAGCCTTCAACCGGGAGGCCGCCTTCATTACAGACTGTTAACCAAGATCTTCCTTAATCCCATGCAAGGCGTGCAGGCTGCTGCTGGGACACCCAGACACCAGCGGCCTTGGGATTAACTGCTGCCCCCATCCCACCACAGCACCCCACGTCCGCACACAGCCCTTCCAGCATCCCTGGGCACCGACGCCAGGGCTGGGCACATGGCAGCTGTACGGGGGTCCCCTCAACATTCAGCGGATGTCAACAGCCCACTCCTGATTGGGAGTGATTGTTTTCAGCATGGAGTCAGCCCGGACTGGATTTATCAAACTGTTAACTGTGCTTATCGCAAATCACTTTAATGATGTGTTAACATTTAATTAGATCGCTACCGAATGCTTCAGATTACACGTACGGCCGGTGAACCTGACCATCAGAGCAAAGAGAGTCACAGAAAATGGGATCCTTGCCCCCAGCCCCAGCTGGACAGGCGGTCCTGGGCTTGGCAAGCCAGCCCATTTTGGGGGGAAGTTTCTTGGCATCTGCTTTACGTCTCTGGTGAGGCCATAAGGCGTGCAGTGGGCATTGTCGTGGAAACCGTGCACATCCTGGAAAAAAGAAGTCTGCTCATGTTCACGCCGCGTGGCTGTGTTACGTGTCCGCTGTCTGCAAGGCACAGAGTTGATGCTTTGAGGGACCCTGAAATGGAGAAAACATGGACCCTACCCTTGAAAAGATAGGCTCACAGAGCAGAAAGAAAATTCCTGTTCCTGCACCCAGGCCCATGCTGAGCAGGGGGCGGCCCCCGATCCTACTGCTCAGCTAGGAAGGCGTTTTATCTGCATTTTACAAACAGGGAGATCAAGGCTCACAGAAGTGGTTGTTTACTCCTTGTGGAGGCTCCACGAGGGCAGGAGGGGAAAGGTCTTGGGTGAACAAATGCTCGCTCGGCCAGGCTGGGGCCAGCGCTGCAGGCCCGGGAAGCAGAACCAAGGGGCTTCAAGCTGTGCTGTAGGCAACCACGGAGGGGCTTTGAGGCAGGGGTCGGGGTGACGCAGTCCAACCCACGTTTTCAAGATCCTAAGAAACAAAATGTTCATTATCCTCACGATTTGGAAATAGGAAATCCAGGTCTGTGCTATGACCCCACGGTGTGTCTGATGCCCTGTGTAGCAGGTTGGGTGTTGGCCCGTGAGTGTCAAATGCCTCCTCTTCTTTGGGTCATTGGTTCATTGATAATTATTGAGTTATTGAATCATTGATTCACTTGCTGGGAATCTGCTGGGCATGGACGGTGCCCACGAGAAGCGCTCTCTCCATCTCAAACACATATGCACACCATGCACATATGCACATGTGGGCCCACACACGCATGTGTGCACATACATGTACAAATCCACCCAATGCACATACACATGCATACATTCACATACACCCTCACACTTGTGCACACTCATGCACACAATACACGTGTGTGCACATTCACATGCACACCCACACATTCCACACGTGTGCACACATGCACGTACATTCATACACATGCACGTACATTCATACACATGCACACTCCACACACTTGCACACAGATCCATGCACACACACAGACGCATGCACACGTACGTTCATGTACATGCACACTCCATGCCAGTGCACACACATTCATAAACACAGGTGCGGGCACACATGCATGTGCACACACATTCATACACACATGCGCAGGCACACACATTCACACACACAGGTGCAGGCACACACATTCATACACACATGTGCAGGCACACACATTCACACACAGGTGCAGGCACACACATTCATACACACATGTGCACACACATTCATACAGGTGCAGGTACACACATACATGCACACATGTGCACACATATTCATACACACAGGGGTAGGCACACATATTCATGCACACGTGCACACACATACATGTGCAGGCACACACATTCAGACACACAAGTGTGCACACATTCATACACACAGGTGCAGGCACACACATTCATATACGCATGTGCACACATTCATACACACAGGTGCAGGCACATACATTCATACACACGTGCAGACACATTCATACAGGTGCAGGCACACACATTCATACACACATGTGCACATTCATACACATGTGCACACACATTCATACAGGTCCAGGTACACGCATTCATGCACACATGTGCACACACATTCATACACACAGGTGCAGGCGCACACATGTTCCGCCACACATGCGTTCACACATACAGCGCCAGCCTTCATATGGTTCAGGCAATCATGCGCCATACCCAGCTGCTCTCCAGGTTTCCATCTCCGGAAATGCAGGAGCCGGGGCAGTGTGTGGGGGCCGGTGTCCCATTTGGCTTCGCTCTCCCCTCCACCTGCATGAGTTGGGGAAATGCCCGTTTTCAAAGGACATGTCGATGGCCCTGCGGCTCTGCCTCCACGGGGCCGTGGCCCAGCACCTCCGCAGCGAGGCCTAGGCAGCAGCTGTGCTGCAAACACCACCCTGGCTGTGCTCAGAGGCGGCCGGCCGCCCCGAGAAACCCTCCATGATGTGACGCGACCAGACAGGCGCAAGGAACAGGCCCCGCAGTCATGTAAAATGCAGGAGCGCTCCCATCCCAGACGCTGGCTGACCGAGCAGCAGCGCAGCAGTAAGCGCATCCCAGTCCCCGTTTGGGGGCAATTTAACCCGGGCCCTTGCGTAACAACAGCCTCATTATTCGGAGGAAGCCGGAGGCTCAGGCGTGTTCTTTGAATGGCATAGCCCTTGTAGGGGGTGCGCGAAATCATCTGGGGTGGACGCCACGTGGCCTCCCAGAGCTAGCCCAGCCCACTACCCAGATGGAAGCTTCCAGATGAGTCAGTCCGTGGGAAGAGAACAGGAGTTTGTTCAGCAAGCTCCAAAGCCTCGGGCAGCCTGGGGGATGATTGACCTGGAGTAAAATCGTGCATCCTTAAACTGGCAAGCCTTGGGCTGCCCGACAGATTCCACGTACGGGTCACCTCCCCGAGACAGATTAAGCTCCATGGTACCCCTCTGCCCAGGCGGGGGGTGGGACGGCCCAGCCCTGCTCCTGGATGTGCTGTTGCCTCCCACATGGTGTGGCAAAGGAGAAGGTAGGAAAGGCCAAGGCATTGGGGCCAGGCCGGCAGGCTTGAGATGTGGCTGGTGCTGAGGCCCTTAGGGTGAATGCCTAAACCTCTCTGCACCTTGGTTCCTGTGCCCCAAAAGTGGTCATAATAAGGGAGACCGCCATGCAGGCCCTGTGTGGGAGGCTCTCACAAGGACAGGGCTGAGCCTCTGGACGTCAGCGTTGCTCTCTGGGCACTGGGCAGGGGCTGCGGCACCGTCCCGGGCACTGCCATGAGCAGGCAGCAGGGCCCTCGGAGCCAAGCCCACACCTGCTCAGAGAGGAGACTGAGCACACTCACTGGGAATTTGCGATGGCACGTTGGTAAGAAGAGTTCAGCAGGAATGGCAGGCAAATTGGTGAAGGCATGCAGGCTGGCAGGACAGGGTAGACTCCTGCGGCTGCAGAATTTGGAGGATTCCCCATCATCTACTGGCTCTGTCTCACAAACCCCGCTGGATGCTCACAGAAAAGTCTGGAAAAGTCCCCAAGTTTTGTCCACTGTGGTGGACCTCGGAGAGGGGTTGAGCAGCCACATGGAACTGGTGTGAAATTCCAGCCAGGCCCTTCTCCCCACTGTCCATCAAGGTACAAGAGCCTAAACCTGAGCAGGACATCAGTGAAAACGCATTGCAGCTAAAGGAGACTGGGGAAAGAGGACTTTACTCTTCAGGGAGGGTGACAGGATTGAGGACTGAGCCCACAACCATGGCTAGAAAAAGAGCAGAAGATCCGAGAAGGCCACAATCCCAAGAACCAGGGCCACAGTAAACCTAAGACTAAGGCTTATCCAGAGCCTCGGCAAGCGCACTCACCTCCACCTCCTGCCACCAAGCTAATAAGATCTGCAACACCAGAAACAGCAGAACGATGCCGAGAAAGGGAGAGGAGAAGGGAACCAGCATAGGAAATCTCTCTGAAGCACAGTGCAAAAGGAAAACCTAGAATTCAGAGTCATACGTTGCTAAACACAGACTATCTATGCAGCTGCTTGAAGCAGTTAGAGTGATCACAGTAACACATCTCAAACCTAGCCCAGCTCCTAACTAGATTAACTTAAACCTCCTACAAAGGGTCCGGTAGGAGGAAGTTGTGCCCGTATAAGATGCCTGGCTTTTAACACAAAATTCTGATGCATACAAAAAGACAAGGGAAAAAAAATCACACTCATAAGAGATAAAGAATACACATGTTGGAAATACTGGGCAGGAAATTTTAATAACTATGATTACTCTGTTGAAGGCTGTAATGAAGAAAGGGGACAGTGCATGATCAGATGGGTTATTTCAACGGAGAGATGGAAACTGTAAGGGAGAATCAAATGGAAACGCTAGAAATGAGAAACACAGAGACAGAGAGGAAGAGTGCCCTCAATGGGCTCATCAGTAGATGCTACACAGCTGAGAAAGAATCACTGACCTTGAAGACGAGTCAAAAACAATTACCCAAACTGGAAAAAAGAGAAAAAAGAATGAGCATCACATGGACTAGAACATCCAAGAGCTAGGAGACTATATCAAACTCCTAACATACGCATACCTGGAATCCTAGAAGTAGAAGAGGGAGAATGAGCAGAAGAAGTATTTAAAGAAATAATGACCAGAAATTTACTGAAATGAACAACAGACACCAGAAGACAGATCCAAGAAGCTCAGAGAACACCAGCTAGCATACACACCAAAACGAAAGCAAACAAAGAACCACACATAGGCATGTTATATGCCAGCTCTGGAAACCAAAGACAAAAAGATAACACTGAAGCGAGCCAGACCAGGGCAGGGTGGCGGGCAAGCATTATGGAAGAGTAAACGCGCAATTTGCAACAGAGTTCTCATCAGAAATCATGCAAAACAGAAAACAATGGAGTGAATCTTTAAAGTGCTGGAGGACAAAAAAAACCAGTTAACTCCGAGAAAAATATCTTCGCAAAAATGAAGGAGACATAATAAATTTCTCAAAGAAACAAAAATGGAGAAAATGCATTTCCAGCAGACCTACTCTAAAGAGAATGCTGAAGAAGTTCTTCAGGTGGAAGGACTAGGATAGTAACTGAAACTTAGCTCTACACAAAGAAATGAAGAGCGCTAGAAATGGAATAAATGAAGGTAAAATTAAATTTATTTTTTTCTAGTTTCTAATTGCTCTAAAAAAAAAAAAAAAACATTTAAAACAGGCCGGGCGCAGTGGCTCACGCCTGTAATCCCAGCACTTTGGGAGGCCGACGCGGGCGGCTCACGAAGTCAGGAGACTGAGACCATCCTGGCTAACACGGTGAAACCCCGTCTCTACTAAAAAATAGAAAAAATTAGCCGGGCGTGGTGGCGGGCACCTGCAGTCCCAGCTACTCGGGAGGCTGAGGCAGGAGAATGGCGTTTACCCGGGAGGCAGAGTTTGCAGTGAGCCGAGATCGCACCACTGCACTCCAGCCTGGGCCACAAAGTGATACTCTGTCTCAAAAAAAAAAAAAAGGTTGCACCGTATTGTGTGTTTATAGCATATATAACAGTAAAGGTGTGACAGCAACAGCACAAAGGCCAGGAAGAAGAAATTCGGAATATGCTATTTTAAAGTCCTTATACTACATACAAGGTGGTACAATATTATTTGAAGGTAGATTCTGATTAGTTAAAGATGTACATTTGAGGCAAAGGTCAACCACTAAAAGGTTTTCGAAGAGGTATAAATAATAAGTCAGTAGAGGAGATAAAATGGAATCATAAAAATTGCTCAGTTGACGAAAGAGAAGGCCAAAAAAATGGGAAAAAAGAAACGAAGAAAAAATAGAATAGAAAATGGTAAGTAAAATGATGGATTTTAATCAAACCATATCCATAATCACATTACTTATGAATTGTATAAACATACCAAATAAAAGGCAGAGATTGTCAGATGTGATTGTTTCGATTGCGTGCTGTACATACGAAACCTGCTTGAAATATAAAGATATAATAAATGTGTTACAAAAAGTGAAGGAAAAGAAAATACAGATCATGCAAACACTAAGCAAAAGAAAACTGGAGTAACTATATTAATATCAGACAAGGTAGACTTTAGAGAAAGGAATACTGTCAAAGATAAAGAGAAACATTACATAACGATGAAGGAGTCAATTCTCCAAGAATATAACAATCTTAAATGTGTATGCAACTAGCAACAGATTCAAAATACATGAGTCAAAAACTGATGGAACTGGAATGAGAAATGGATGAATCCACACAATTATAGTTGGAGATGTCAACTCTGTCTCAGGAATGGACAGAAAAGTAAACAGATAATCAGTAAGAACAAAGACTTGAACAACACTATTAGGCCTAATTGGCATATACAGACTCCACCCAATAACAGGAGATTGCATCTGGACCATAAAACAAATTTCAGCAAATCTAAAAGAATATAAACCTTTTAATCTTTAACCATAACAGTAAACTACAAATCAATAACAGAAAGGTAGAAGAAAAAAACACTTATAAACTAAACAATGCACTTATAATAACCCATAGATAAAAGAGCAAGTGTCAAGAACAATTTAAAAATATTTTAAAGTGATATTAAAATGAAAATAAAATATGCCAACATTTGACGGATACAGTTAAAGCAGTGCTTAGAGGAAAAAAGAAAACTTCAGTCCCAGCTGATTTTGCTGGAGAATTCTACCAAATGTTTAAGAAAGAGACAGTATCAATTCAACACAATCTCTCCCAGAAAATAAAATAGGAAAAACATTTCCCAATTCATAATTCCAGCAATACCCCAATATCAATCCACACAAATACACTGCAAGAGAGAGAAAATTACAGACCAATATTTCACATGAATAAAGTGTGCAAACTCTCAATACAGTATTAGCACGATCATGTTTTATCCCAGAAATACAAAGGAGGTTACAAAATTTTAATTTAACCTGATACATCATATTAATATACTACAGAAGAAAAGCCATGTAATTATCTCAGTAAATGAAGGAAAAGTAATTGATAAAATTCAAAATCTATTGATGACGAAAAAAATTCTCAACAAACTGTAAGTAATAGGGAGCTTCTTGATGTGAAAAAGAACATTGACAGCTAATGTTAAACTTATAGGTGAATGTTTTTTCCCAATATCAGAAACAAGGCAAGGATGTCCTCTCTCACCATTCCTATTCAAGCATTTCTGTCCTGGAATTATAGGTGCACACCACCATACCCAGCTAATTTTTATATTTTTAGTAGAGAAGAGGTTTCACTACGTTTGTGAGGCTGATCTTGAACTCCTGACCTCAAGTGATCCACCCACCTCAGCCTTCCAAAGTTCTGGGATTACAGGCATGAGCCACCGCGCCCAACCAAAGTATAAATTTTTAAGTATGCAACGTCTGCATGCTGAAAACTACAAACATTGATAAAAGAAATCAAACAAGAACTAAATAGTGAGATTTATAGCAAGAAAGACTGAGAATTGTTAAGATGTCACTTCTGTACAATTTCATTTATAGGTTTAATGCAATGCCAGCAGGCTTGTTTTTTGGATAACACACGTTGAATCAAAACTGTCTATGGAAAAGCAAATTAACTAATAGAGCCTCCACTAGAAGTTTGTAAAAGGAGAACAAAGTTGGAGAACTCACACCACCTAATTTAGAGACCTGCTGCAAAGCTATAGTAATCAAAACAGTGTGGTCTTAGTGTGAGGACAGACATACAGGTCATCAGAACAGAATAAAGCCCACAGATAGATCCAGGGAAATACTGTCACATGTTTTTTGACAGAGGGGCAAAAGAAATTGAATAGAAAAACATGGCAATTTTTTCAACAAATATGCTGAGGAAATTGTGCATTCATGTGAAATTAAATAGCTTAGTCTTTAACCCTTATAACAAAATCAAATCAAATTGGAACATTTGTAAAATGTATAAAACTTTAAAACTTCTAGTAGAAAACATAGGAGAAAAGTCAGTGTGGCCATGAATTGGGCAGAGTGCCTAGAGAAGACCAAATAACATCATGCACCAAAGAACAGCGCTGATAAGTTCAACCTTATCCAAATCTGGAACTTCTATGTAAACAAGTTAAAAAAAAAAAAAACTATTAAGAGCATGAAAAAACAAGCCACAGGCCGAGAGACTATGTTTTCAAATCACATTTCTGACAAAACACAATATCCAGAATATATATACAGCAGTCCTCCCACCTTCTTATCTGAGGAGGATACATGCAAAGACCCCCAGTGGATGCCTGAAATTACGGACAGTGATTTCACGGACGGTGATATACACTATGCTTTTCCTCTACATATGTATCTATGATATAGATTAATCTGTAAATTAGGGACAGACAGAGATTAACAACAGTAAGTAGTAATAAAATAGAGCAATTATGACAATATGATGTAATAAAAATTACGTGAATGTGGTCTCTCTCTTTCCCCCCTTTCCTCTACCCTCCACCCCTCTCTCCCTGTCTCCTCTCTCTCTTTCTAAATATCTCACTGTATTATATACCATGGGCAACTGAGACCACAGAAAGCAAAACCGCAGATAACGGGAGACTACTGTAATTTTTTTTAAAAGCTCTCAAAGGTCAAAATGAAGACAACAAACAGAGCTTTTTAAAAGGGGGAAAGATTTACACCAACAAGTCATTGAAAAGGACGTACAGATAACAAACAAGCATGTGAAAAAGTGCAGGAGAAAAAGAACAAGGTGAGCTTAGAACATCTTAGGGTGCTAGAAGGTAGAGAATCGGTCTGAAAAAAGAGATGGGCACATGTTAAAGCACAGGAGCGCTGGAACAATTTAAGCATCAAAATAGACAAAATACTGGATTTGAACCCAAATAATAAAATAAACAACCCGAGTCCATACTGATATCATGAATAATGAACTAAATAAATAAACGAAGTAATAGATGGAGAAGGGACCATTCTTTCTTCCAGGAGAATTCCAAATAGGAGCTATAGAAAGAATTAGGAAAATAGACCATCACCATTAGAACATCGCAGTCGTAACTACTACAGGGAGGTCCACTGCTGAATGCCAAGATTAGTAGGCAGAAGTGTTACTGGTGGAGGGTTTTGACTACAGGTTGTCCAGGTTCTTGGCTTGTTGAACAAAGAATTGGACAAACGACACCAACAAAACAATGACGGAACAAAGCCACAAAAGCACAGATTTATTGAAGTGAAAGCATACTCCACAGGGTGAAAGCGGACTCCAGCAAGTGGCTCAAGAACCCAGTAGCAAAATCTTCTGGGGTTTAAGTACCCTGTAGAGGTTTCCTATTGGTTACACCCTATGTAAATGAAGACTTGGCCTTTGACCAATCAGCGGCTGAAATGAAGTTACACCCTATGCAACTAAACTTGGCCCACAACCAATTAGAGGCTGAAGTGAAGGCTCCCTGTTTTCAGACCCTATTTTCCTGCCTCAGAAGTTTCAGGAGGAGCAGGACGCTTGCACAGCATCAAAGTATCTCTTCCAAAATTTTAGGAGTGACAAAGGAAAAACAGCTAACTGTGCAGAGGAGAAACCTGGCGGCCACCACCTTACTCAAGAATCACAGCGAGTATCACCAGTGATAATGAGGTAGGAGGTGGGGCTTGGACGCCGGACCAAATTGAGGACTAGCTAAAACAGGACAGGGAAGCAAGCCACTTTCCATAAGACACGCCCACCAGTGCCATGTCAATTTATCATTGCCATGGCAACACCCGGAAGTTACCACCCCCCTTCCATGGCAGCAACCTAAGGACCAGGAAGTTAACACCCTTTTCCTAGAATACTCTGCATAATTCACCCTTTAATTTGCATATAATTAAAGCTGGTTATAAATATGAGCGCAGGGCCGGGCACGGTGGCTCATGCCTGTAATCCCAGGACTTTGGGAGGCCAAGGCGGGTGGATCGCCTGAGGGCGGGAGTTTGAGACCAGCCTGGCCAACACGGTGAGACACCACCTCTACTAAAGATACAAAAATTAGCCGGGCGTGGTGGCGCCTGTAATCCCAGCTGCTTGGGAGGCTGAGGCAGGAGAATCACTTGAACTCGGGAGGCAGAGGTTGCAGTGAGCTGAGATCACGCAGATCTGCCTCTGAGCTGCTGCTCTGGGCACACTGCCTGTGGGGTAGCCCTGCTCTGCAAAGGAGCAGTACTTCTGCTGCAGTACTTCTGCTCCTGTTTCGAAAACTAACTGCTAAAACCACCGGCTTGCCCTTTAATTCTTTCCTGGGTGAAGCTAAGGACCTTCCTGGGCCGAACCCCAATTTCGGGGCTCACCTGCCTTGCATCATCAAGACACATGGGATGGCCCCTGATGTAGGGTACATCTCTAATGCAGCTCTTCCCAGTAGTTCAAGGCGTCAGTGTTACCATGAGAAAACATCAGTCAAACCCAAGCTGAGAAATTGTCTACAAAATAACTTCCAAGTCTTTTCATAAAAGACAAGGAAAGATTGAAGAACCGTCAGAGGTTGCAGGAGATGGAGGAGACTCAAAAGCTACATGCGTTGTGGAATCATTTGGCCGGGCGCGGTGGCTCACGCCTGTAATCCCAGCACTTTGGGAGGCCGAGGTGGGCGGATCACGAGGTCAGGAGATCTAGATCGTCCTGGCTAACACGGTGAAATCCCGTCTCTACTAAAAATACGAAAAATTAGCCAGGCGTGGTTGCAGGCGCCTGTAGTCCCAGCTTCTCGGGAGGCTGAAGCAGGAGAATGGCCTGAACCCAGGAGGCGGAGCTTGCAGTGAGCGGAGATGGAGCCACTGCACTCCAGCCTGGGCGACAGAGTGAGTCTCCGTCTCAAAAAAAAAAAAATGTGGAATCATTCAATTTTTGAACAAAAAAGAACTTTAGTGGAAAAACTGTTGAAATCTCTACTTTAATCATAGCAATGTATCAATGTTAATTTCTTAGTATGATCATTATACTATGGCTACATAAGATGTTAATGTTAGGGGAAACTGGATGAAAGGTGTCCAGGAAATACCTGTAGTATTCTCACAACTCTTCTGTAAATCTAAAATTATCTCCATGCAAAAGGTTAAGAGTAGGAAGTGACTGAGAAAAATAAAGGTGAGGTACACATACTACCCAATTTTTTTTCTTTCTTTTTTTTTTTTTTTTGAGACAGAGTTTTGCTCTCGTTGCCCACGCTGGGGTGCAATGGCGCAATCTCGGCTCACTGCAACCTCCACATCCCAGGTTCAAGCAATTTTCCTGCCTCTGCTTCCTAAGTAGCTGGGATTACAGGCATGTGCCACCACACCCGGCTAATTTTGTATTTTGAGTAGAGATGGGGGTTTCACCATGCTGGCCAGGCAGGTGTCGAACCCATGACTTCAGGTGATCTACCCTCCTTGGCCTCCCAAAGTGCTGGGATTACAGGCATGAGCCACTGAGCCCGGCCCACACTACCTAATTTTATAGTAAGTAGCTACTATAAAGCTACACAATCAAATCAGTGTGGCCCAGAGTAGAAGGTCCAGGAAGACAGCCACTCGCACATATGACCAACTGATTTTTGACAACGGTGCAAAGGCAATTCAATAGGAAAGGATTGTCTTTTCAACATATGGTGCTGGAACAATTAGACAAGACATGAAAAACCAGGGGCTGCCACCACACCTCACACCTCATACAAAATTAACTCGAATAGATGACATACCTAAATGTAAAACGTAAAACTATAAAACTTTTAGAGAGAGATAATTGGGACATTGAGTTAAGTGAACTTTTCTTATATACACCCACTGAAGCAGGGGTCCCCAACCCCCTAGGCCACAGAGCAGTACCTTTTCATGGCCTGTTAGGAGCCAGGCCGCACAGCAGGAGGTGAGTGGTGGGCCAGCGAGCATTACGTCCTGAGCTCCACCTCCTGTCAGACCAGCGGCTGCATGAGATTCTCTTAGGTGTGAGAACCCCGTTGTGAACCACGCATGTGAGGGATCCAGGTTGTGCACTCCTTATGAGAATCTAACTAATGCCTGATGATCTGAGGTGCAACAGTTTCATCCAGAAACCATCCTCCTACCCTGGAAAAATGGTCTTCCCTGAAACTGGTCCCTGCTGCCAAAAAGGTTGAGGACGGCTGCACTAAAGCAGGATCCATAATAGAAAACAATGATACATTTAATTTATTAAAGTTTACCTGGCAAAAGGACATTGTTATAGAGAACAAAAAGACAAACCACAGGCTAGGAGAAAATATTTATAAACCACAAATCTGTAAAAGGACTTGTATCCAGAATATATAGAGAACTTTTTTTTTTTTTTAAACAGGGTCTCACTCTGTCTCCCAGGCTGAAGTGCAGAGGAGTGATCATGGCTCACTGCAACCTTGACCTCCTGGGCTCCAAGGATCCTCCTGCCTTAACCTCCTGAGTATCTGGGACTACAGGTGGGCACCACTATGCCTGGCTAATTTTTGTATTTTTTGTAGAGACAGGGTTTCACCACGTTGCCCAGGCTGGTCATGAACTCCTGGCCTCAAGCAATCCCCCCGTCTTGGCCTCCCAAAGTGCTGGGATTACAGGCGTGAGCCACCGCACCTGCCATAAAGAACTCTTAAAGCCCAATAATAAGCATATTATTAATTCAATAATAAAATGGGCAAAAAGTTTGAACAGACACTTCACCAATGAAGATATAAGCACATGGCAAATAAGTACTTGAAATAAGCTGGCGTGGATGCGGTGAACGGGGGACCCTTCTACACTGCTGGTGGGAATGTCAACTAGTATACCCACTATGGAAAACAGTGTGGCGATTCCTTAAAGAACTAAAAATGGAAATACCATTTGATCCAGCCACCCTACTACTGGGCATCTACCCAGAGGAAAAAAAGTCACTGTACAAAAAAGATACTTGCCCATGTATGTTTATAGCAGCATAATTCGCAATTGCAAAATTGTGGAAACAACTCAAATGCCCATCAATCAATGAGTGGATAAAGAAACTGTGGCATATATATATATATAGATACACACACACACACACACACACACACACACACACACACACACAATGGAATACTGCTCAGCATAAAAAGGAATACATTAATGGCCTTCGAAGCGACCTGGATGAGATTGGAGACTATTATTCTAAGTCAAGTAACTCAGGAATGGAAAACCAAACATCGTATATTCTCACTCTAAGTGGGAGCTAAGCTATGAGGATGCGAAGGCATAAGAATGACACAGTAGACTTTGGAGAATGACACAATGGACTTTGGGGACTCGGGGAAAGGGTGGGAAGCGGGTGTGCAGTGTATACCGCTTGAGTGATGGGTGCACCAAAATCTCACAAATCACCACTAAAGAACTTACTCATGTCACCAAACACCACCTGTACCCCAATAACCTACGGAAATTTTTTTTTTTGAGGAGTCTTGCTCTGTCGCCCAGGCTGCAGTGCAATGGCGTGGTCTCGGCTCACTGCAACCTCCACCTCCCCGGTTCAAGCGATTCTCCTGCCTCAGCCTCCTGAGTAGCTGGGATTACAGGCATGCACCACCACGCCCAGCTAATTTTATATATATTTTTATATATTTATATATATTTATATTTATGTATATCTATATATATATATTTATATTTTTATATATTTATATATTTATATGTTTTTATATATTTATATATATTTATGGTTTTATATATTTATATATTTATATATTTTTATATATTTATTTATATATTTATATA
This sequence comes from Homo sapiens, assembly GCF_000001405.40. Taxonomy (NCBI): domain Eukaryota; kingdom Metazoa; phylum Chordata; class Mammalia; order Primates; family Hominidae; genus Homo; species Homo sapiens. Next base: position 29,923 of record NW_021159993.1, read on the forward strand.
TATTTATATATTTTTATATTTTTATATATTTATATATATTTTTATATATTTATATATATTTATATATTTATATATATTTATATATTTATATATATTTATATATTTATATATATTTATATATTTATATATATTTATATATTTTTATATTTATATTTTTATATTTTTGTATATATTTATATATTTATATATTTATATATATTTATATATTTATTTATATATTTTATATATTTATATATATTTATATATTTATTTATATATTTATATATTTATATATATTTATATATATTTATATATATTTATATGTATATTTATATATTTATATATTTATATATTTATATATATTTACATATTTATATATATTTACATATTTATATGTTTATATATTTTTATATATTTATATATTTATATATTTTTATATATTTATATATTTATATATTTTTATATATTTATATATACTTATATATTTATATATATTTATATATTTATATTTTTATATATTTATATATATTTATATATTTATATTTTTATATATTTATATATATTTATATATTTATATATTTATATATATTTATACATATATTTATACATATATTTATACATTTATATATTTATTTATATATATTTATACATATATTTATTTATTTATATATATTTATACATATATTTATATATATTTATATATTTATTTATATATATTTATATATATTTTTTTAGTAGGGATGGGGTTTCTTCATGTTTGTCAGGCTGGTCTCAAACTCCTGACCCAGGTGATCCGCCCACCTCAGCCTCCCAAAGTGCTGGGATTACAGGCATGAGCCACCGCTCCCCGTCAGAGATAAATTTTTTTTAAAAATACAGGTACTTGAAAAGCTGCTCATCATCACGCATTAGGAAAATGCACATTAAACCCCCAGTGAGGTACCACTCCACACTGGTGAGAAGAGTTAAAATTAAAAACGAAACGAAATCCCTGACAGTACCAAATGCCAGCAAGGCTGCAAAGTGACCAGAACTCTCCTGCGTTGCTGGTGAGAATGTGTGAAAAATGGTTAACAGCGTCCCGTAGCATTCCGCACGCATTTGCCACAGGACACAGCAGTCACCATCCTGGACACTTACCCAGGCGAAATGAAACCTGTGTTGCCACAGTCGCCCGAATGTCAATGGTTAGAGGAGCTTTATTGACGATCGCTCAAACTGGAAGCAACCCAGATGTCCCTCAAGTGGAGAGTGGATTAATAGACTACAATACGGTCACGCGATGAAGTGTCACTCAGCAAGACGAAAAGAGGAAGCATCAGTTCACACCACAATGTGGACACATCTCAGAGGGATTACGCCAAGCGAAAGGTGCCAGGTCAGAAACCGCGCACTGCGTCATCCTGTTCGTATGACATTCCGGAGAATGTCATGGACACGATAGGGATGGAGCACAGATCCTGAGTGCCATGGGTTAAGGGGAAGGGGCGGCTTTCACTGCACTGGAATTGGTGTGGGCAGGGGAAGGGATGGAACGGTTCTGCATTTTGACTGTGGTAATGGTTATGTGACTATGCATTTGTCAAAACTGCATGCAAAAAAGTTAATTTTGCTGTATGCAAATTAGAAAATAAACTTGTTGTTTTTTTAATGTCAACACTATTGCGCGGTTGGGGTCTGTCTCTCGCTCTTTCCCTGTAACACAAGAGCAGCGTGTCCCAGATGGGGTTGCTTCCTCAGCCCGGGTCCCGGATAGACCCAGAGACTCCTGGAGACTTGGGACTGGTGTCCAGAGCTGGGCGCTGCCCAGGAAGGAGCAGGAGAGACGGGGCACACCTGGACCTCTTGCTCCCTCTGTCCTGTCTCAGAATCTGGTTCAGCCCCTCCCCAATGCCCCTGGAGCCACAGCCTGTGTTGGCCTGGACACTGCGGTTTGGTCTGCCCAGACCCCTCCCTGCTTCTCCCTGTGGTGAACGCGTTCACTCGACTTTGAGAACACCCTCTCCCCTCTGGGTGGTTCCACTGCGGCTGCCAGCCCTGCCTCCCACGCCCCTGCCAGAGAAGATGCATGACCTGGCCATGCCAGTCAGAAGCCTTCTGTGGATGTTATGCCGGCATTGGAGAGAGAGAGGACCTCTGTCTTTCTGTGGATTTGAGCTGTCAGAGTGTGACCTTGAGTAGTTGGTGGCCACATCCTTTGCCATTTGGAAAAGTCCAAGTGACCACCAGAGATGGCAAAGGCACTGGTTCCAATCTGAGGGGTATGCTCCATCCCTACGCCTGCCAGCCGGGGCAGCCAAAAGCCCCCCTTTTGTCTTGAATAGCTTGGGACTCCACCTGGAACCCTGAGTCCCTGCTGCTGCTCCCCTGGGCTGTGAGATGCTCCCAGGTCTGCAGCTCTCTCTCCTGGCAGCACCGCAGACTCAGAGCCTGAACTCTGCCCGGCCAGACTGAGGGCAGCCAGAGCCCCAGCAAGCCTCCATGCCCAGATTGGCCTGGGCCAAGCCCACGGCCAGGGCCAGCAAGCAGAGAGGACCAGAATGGCCCGTGCTTTTGGCAAGAGCTGGCCTGGAGCACGGAGGCAGCTGCCACCCTCCCTGGAGCCCCACAACAACCCCCCTTCTAGAGTGTGACTCTAGAGCCACACTCTTCCCTCCAGCTGCTCTCTCTTCCACCTCTCCCCGCACCAGCACCGACACCCAGTGCACGGAGTGCACACCCCACGCCAGCCCACGCTAAGCTGGGGAGGAATCCATGCGGAGGAACCTGCTCTGCCCCGGAGGCTCACAGCCTGGTGGAGAGGAGGACGAGTTCACAAATCATTGCAACCCAGGGACGCGGCAAGGGCCTCAGTAAAACCAACAAATAACCAGGAACTGACCACAGGCTTTGCTCCAGGCAGTGAGCCCAGCAGAGTAAACCTCAAAGGGCCGGAGTCTTTCCAGGTGTCCCGAGAGGCATCTGGCAGGGAGGTGGTGCCTGAATTTTAGAGCTGAGCTGGGTTTTCAGGGAAAACCAGGGGAGTTTCCCCCAACGTCATCCAGGGAAATCTCCGTCAGGTTGGGCGGCAGCACAGAGGAGCAGCTGGGAGAACTGAGGTCTCACCAAGGAAGCCACCATCAGCCGGTCCTGGGGCCTAAGGCACTGTCATTTGCAGGGCAGAGCCATGGACAAGGCCCACGGGGGTGGCTGGGCATGCTGGGGAGGGGCTCCACGGACAAAGAAAAAGGGGCCCAGCAGGGGTGAGGCGGGGAGGTCAGGGGTCAAGGCACAGGGCTGGGAGGAGCCGTGGGCAGGAGGCAGTGTCCCCGAAGAAGCCGGGCCAAACACCGAGGCCTGGACCATGGTTGGGCTGGTGGCCCCCGCCCAGCACTGGACAGCACATACCACCCCTCACTGAGGCCTTGTCCCCCTCCTCACTCCTCTCCCCAGCTTCACTCCCCATACAGTGAAATCACTGAATTGTTGCTGCCCCAAATATCATTTTCTGATTTCCAGCCGGTTTGGACTGGAAGGAACCTTCATGTCCATCCCTCGCAGCTGGCCTGCCCGGGAGTCCCAGGCTCTCCCTCTGCCCTCCAGCCACAGACCCCCGGGGATGCCGCCTTTCATCAGCAGGCCCAGGGGCTGGCACTGCCTGGCAAGGGGCCTGCTGCATCTGGGAGCCAGGACGGGGCTCCAGGCTGCCCCTCAGACCCGGCCACAGGGTGCCGCTGCCCAGGCACTGGCTCAACAAACAGTCACTAAACACCTCTTAGGGATGACAGTTCTGCTCTGGGCATTGAGCCACAGACAGATGACCACACCCTCATGGAACATTCTGGAGGGAGATGCAGAGAACAAATGGGAAAATAGGAAGGGTGTGAGGACAGTAACCCATGGTGGCTAGAGTGCAGCTTCCCAAGTTGTGCACTGGGCACATCAGGCTGTCACCTGTGCAAATGGGTCACCTGTACAAATGGGTCACCTATGCAGATGGTTCATCTGGGAATAAACGTCACCTGTGAAGGAGGGTCACCTGTGCAGGTGGGTCGCGTGCAGGTGGGTCGCCTGTGAAGGAGGGTAGGTATTCTGTGGAGATGAACCACCTATAAAGGAGGGTCATTTGTGAAGGGGGGTGGTGAGATATTGGTCTTCCCCACCCACAGCAGAGGCTCTGGGTCCTGGAGGAGGTGAAGCCCTAGGCTAGTAGCCTCCTGCCCACAGCGGCCTTGGCAGGGGCTCCTCAGAAGGTGCCTAAGTGGCAGGGTCAGAGGACAAGCCCTGTGGTCCCCGCAGATGATGACCACGGCAGCCACATCAGCACTTGTGCTCAGGGACACAGGAGCCCTTCAGAGGCTCTGCCTCCTGTTGCCAACTTCAGCAGCCCAAGCCTCTACTTGCTTCGGGTGAGGCCCATGCCTGGTGCCCCAGGGTCAGGGTGGGGCAGCAGAGTGAGTGGCCCCTAGGGGCTCTTGAGGCACAGCTGCAGGCAGTGGGCATCAGCAGCCCCTCAGCCGCCGAGGCCAGCTGGGCCACTCAGGCTGGGTAATTTGCACGTGGGGGCTTTGCCATTGGCTTTGAAGTTTGTGAAGTGAGAGCAGCCAGTCGCCTCCAGGTTCTCTGCGATCACAGGACATTGCAAGGTTACATTTTTCAATGAAATAAAAATCACGGAGCCAGCTGCTGGCATCCCTAAACACAGCGCCCGCCGCTGCCGGCTTCTGACGGCTGCAACCCTTGTTGAAAATATTTACCCCCATCAGGATGGGCTGTTTCTCGTCCGCGGTGACCTGCAAGAATTTGAAAATAGAATCATTTAAAGCCCCAATGGAGAATTACTCGAGAATTACTTGGGCCGTCTTACGTGTGAAGCACTATAGAAAAATGCCCGCGTTTCTCATGAAGTGCTGCAAACTCCGGTTTCTCACTAAAATTCAGGAAAAGTTACTTGGAAGTTTTATACAAATTCAACATGAAAAATTGTCCTAATTATAAAATACAAAGAAAACATAGCGCATTTCTTTCCTCCGAGTCCCCAGGCCAACTCCACTTTACTCAGAGTGTCATACGAATGACACCATTTCTTTGCATGGTGTGCTGAGGAAAAGCGTGGGCAGCCCGAGGGAGCCCCGCACAGGCTGCAAGGAGGCCTGGGGGAAAAATGGGGTGCAGGGGGCGTGGTCAGAGCAGCAAGGAGGCCGTGGGGCCGGTACAGTGGCCAAGGAGGTGGAGGTGGAAGCTGAGGCAAGAGGGTCCCCGGCCGCCCCTTGGAGGCCAGGCTGAGTGGCTGCGTCTGACCCTAGGATGGGTGAGTAGGTGGGGGATTTCATAGGGGGCCACGGTTTGTGAGATGCAAAGCCCCATGGGTGGGAGGCCAAACCTGTTGACCCCTCAGTCTCTGTACGCTGAGATGTGGCCTGTGTGTGATGGGGGCTCATAGCTCCACGTTCCGCTGAGGGCAGGTTGGCAAACTTGTTGCTGGCGGCCCCAGGGCCCTGCACGCTGGCTGCGCGACACTTAGCAGGGAAGCCAGAGCCCTTAGGGAGGCATTGAACACTTCTGAGCACTTTGCATAGGTGACCCCCCCCACTTCAGAGACATGCCCCTTCCCCAAGATGAGCCCCTTCCCGGGGGGCTAGTGAGGAAGGCTCTGGGCACCTGGGGTGCGCAGCTGGGACGGGGAAATTAGCACAGCACATTAACACAAGGACGCACGAGGATAATGTGCTCTCAGGAAGGAGATCGATGGGCCCTCTCTGGGTGCCTGAAAGGAGTCCAAGGTCAAATGGCTCGGGGCTGCGGGCTGCCGGCGGTCAGGCTTTCGGTGAAGCCACGCAGACCCCAAGGAAGGCAGTGCTGAAGTTGCAGGTGCCAGGCCAAGGCCTCCCTTCTCGGGCGTACGCGGGGCTTCTCCACCCCCTCCCCTGCCCCGTCGTCCCCACCAGCGCCCCAGGATCCACTCTCTTGGCCCACCCCACCTGTCTGGGAACTCACTTTGCCACCTCCCATGCCCCCAGCTCTGCCTTGGGTGAGCTCCCAGACGGCCTCGATGGCACCCAGTGAGGTGGGCCTGCCTTAGATGGGACGCTCACGTTCTGCTAAACAGGAAAATGCCTTTGCCACCTGCCCCAAGAAGGAACAGATGGAGCTCATTTGCGCCACGGGAAACACAAGACAAACCATTTGCCAGCAACTGTCTGTGTGCCCAACGCCAGATCACAGGGTTACTCCTGGGGTCTTGCCCCCAATCTACAGCCACCTGGTCACTTCCAGGGTGTCATCTCCATCTTGTTGACAAGGGAGAGAAAGCGGCTCCCCCTGGGTGGTGTAGCCAGGCTGGAGTCGGGCTAACCTGTCTCCCCACAGCCGGGTTCTGATCGGATGTGACCCATGGATTTGGCCTCGTGCTGCTGGATGGAGCAGCCCTCGAAGACAGCCCGTGCTTTGCTCTGCTGAGAGGATGAGAGGCTGCCCCATGATGCTGTGGCCACACAGAGAGGCCCTTGGCTGCAAGGGCAGGTCAGCCATAAGCAATGGCCCCCAAACAACATCATCCCCAGCTGTTTGCCAAAGTGGTCGTTAGGCAGAGGACGGCCGGTATGACAAGAGTTGTACCTACATGCCCTGCGACAACCCAGCAGGAGACAGGCACAGGCCACAGCCAGGTTGGGGGACAAGAGTAGGGAAGGGCTTCAGGAGATACTGGGGGGACTGGCCTGTCCTGGGCTGGGGCAGGCACATCACAGGAGGGTCATTTGATGAGAGCAACAGAGAGAGAGAGAGAGAGTGCCCCATGTACCATCCATGTGTCAGCTGGCCCTTGCCAGCCACGCACACAGGAACGGGCCCTTGCCAGCCGCACACAGGCCCTACTCTCCTCATGTTATTCACTCACTGACTCATTCACGCACTCACTCATTCTTTCATTTGCAGAGTGAGCACCTGCGAGCCGGGACCTGGGGGTGGGTGCAGCCGTGTGTGACAAAAGCGTGCTGCCCACGGGGCTCCCTGTCCAGAGGCAGCAGAAATGAAGGAGCCAGACAGCGTTGGGAGGAGCCCGGCCCCAGAGCCCAGAGGACTTGCTGTGAATGTAGCAGAGGAGGGTCAGGGTGGGATTTGCTCCAGCCCCTTGGGTCAGGGCCTGCGCAGTCCACACCTCTGTCTCCCTCCACATCTACAGAAAGAGGTGACGTTGGTGAGGGCCAGGACACATGGCCAGGCCTTTGGTGGCAGCATTGCCTCCTCACCCTCATCAGCCCTGGCACCCCCGGCAGTGACCCCCACCCCCAGGCTCTCAGGGTCCTTCCTATAGAACAGGATGTGCCTTGAACCTCCCAGGAGACAGTGGGCACTGAGCAAACATTCCTCCTGCTGTCCTCCCATGCCAGTCCCCAAGGCCACCAACCTGGCCCAGGGTTTCCTTCCGTGGGTGTGTTGAGGAAGCATGTCACTGCTGGATTCCACCTGCCGAAGTGCTCCCAGTACACATGCAGGGCTCTGAGGTGTTCCCTGCTCACAGGCGGGGCTCCGAGGTGCTCCCTGCCCACAGGTGGGGGCTCCAAGGTGCTTCCCAGCTTACAGGTGGGGTTCTGAGGTGCTCCCTACTCACAGGCAGGTTTCTGGGGTGGTGCCCGCTCACAGGTGGGGTTCTGAGGTGCCCCCCACCCACAGGCAGTGTTCTGAGGTGCCCCCTGCTCACAGACAGGGCTCTGAAGTTTGTGGGTCTTGCTGCCACCCTCCCAGGAGACAGACAGGAACCCGGCTGGGTGAGTGATTTGGAAGGAGGAGGGAACATCACTGACCCCTCTCACAAACAGGAAGGGCAGCCTTGCTGAGCATTTTACTAAATACCCTGCACTCTGCAGGCATGATCCCGCACAAAATGGATCAAAAGCCGGGTGATCGGACCATGCCTGTGTGAGCCCCTCATGGCCTCCCAGGGAAGGCCCTTGGCACCCAGGACAGAGCCCCTGTCCGCCCACATCCCCTCCCTGCTCCCCCGACCTGCCCACCCTCACCTTCCCCTCCGTCCTGTTCTGGCCACGCAGGGTCTTTCCACTGCGGCGTCTCCGCTGACTCTCACTGGGGACTTGCCCCTGCTTCGCACCCAGTGTCTGTGGGGTCCAGTAATGCCTGTGGAAGACTTTATGGGCAAGAAGGGTTATTTACTATTTAATCGGGTTTTAACTTAATACACAACTTATTAAAGTTAACATTGACGTTTCATATTCAAAAAGCCAATTTCCCTTGAGCCGTAAAGCTCGACTTACAAATCTCATTGTACTGTTTATAAAGCTAGTCATTGTTGAATAAGAAAAGTATCTTTTACGTGTTCTTTAAGTAGCATCCGAGGCACTGAAATTAAAGACCTTAGCCCCCTGTGCTTTATTTGCCTACTCCACACATCTAATTAATTACACCTTTTAGATTGCATTCATAAAATTAATATTTTTAGAGGTTTTATTTTTTCCCTAAGAACTTCAAAGGCCTGTCAGGGTATTCTTATAGACCTAACATAAAAACCTTCCGAAGCACTTTAATAGCCCCTGGAAATAAAATAAACTGTATCCATTGCTATGCTGTCAGTAAGTTCATTCCAACCCTCTCCTTCATTCTATTTAGAACCACTACACTCTCGGCATTGTCTAGAGTGGATGTGGGTTTTTATTTTGTTTCGTTTTTGAGACGGAATCTCACTCTGTCGCCCAGGCTGGAATGCAGTGGCATGATCTCGGCTCACTGCAGCCTCCACCTCCTGGGTTCAAGCAATTCTCCTGCCTCAGCCCCCTGAGTAGCTGGGATTACAGGTGCCTGTCACCACACCTGGCTAATTTTTGTATTTTAAGTAGAGACGGGGTTTCACCATGTTGGTCAGGCTGGTCTCGAACTCCTGACCTCCACTGATCCACCCGCCTCAGCCTACGAAAGTGCTAGGATTACAGGCATGAGCCACCGTGCCTGGCTGGATGTGGGTTTTTGTGCCGAGCTCATAGCCTCCTCCGGCTGCCTTCCAACCTAACTCCACCCCCTGGCCCCTGGCTCAAAACTATCCCCCAGGCTGTAGGAGGGCCAAGGATGCTCACCCCGCTCCCTCCATGCTTGCCACAAAACCTTCTGGGCATCTCCTGCCTCTGTGCCTTTGCAGCGGCTGTTCCCTCTGCCTGGAATGCTCTTCCTCCTATGTCTGCTCAACCTCATGGCATTCAGGCTTCGTCTGGATGGCCCGGGAGGCTATCAGGGCCCTGCCCTGAATTGAGCCCAGCCACCGTCCTTGGCTTTACTTTCCCACGTGGCATTTACCACCACCGGGCCCCACCCATGGGTCTGCTGTGGGTTTGCTGTCAGCCTCTCCCTGGAGGTCAGCTCCTGGAGGGCAGCACCTTCTGCTGCTCACACCTCTGTCCCAGGCTACCCTGGAAAGAGTCTGGAACAGAGGAGGCATCAGCAAGTGTTGACTGGATGAATGAATGAATGAATCAGTCTGTCAATCAATCAACCAACCAGATCAATCGCCCTCACAAAGATGATCCCTTGCGAGAGGGCCGTGCTGCTCCGGGTACTGTTCCACTTCAACGTTCCTTCCTGTTTCTTTCTGTCCCAAGATTAAAACATCACCACCGAACGGGGAGGGTGGGGACATGGCCATCATTTCAGGCCAGCCAGGGTTGCTGCACCGAAGTCCAGGTGGTCGGAGAGCCGTAGAGCCATGGCCGTGTGCTTCGTGACGTCTGTCCCAGGTCACCAACTGCTGAGCCCTGGCCACCCTCGCAGCCACCCCAACTCCATTCCTGGTTCAGGCCCTTGGATGGCCAATAGGATTCACACTCCTTTCCTGGGTATTCTTGTCCTGGCCACAAGGCCGAGGTTGCCAAAGGGTACTGCTGACCCCCCGTTACCCTCCTGCTCCATCCACCCAGCGCATTCACACTCCCACAGCTGCCCCCGGGCCATGTCTGTCTCTGCCCCTGGGTTGCTGGAGACATCTGACTCCCATCCCACCCTCACGTTTGGGTAAACAGAGCCCCCTCTCTGGGAAAGGGGACAACAGCTGGGCTCCTGGTGGGGACGCATGGAGGTCAAGGAGCCTGCAGGCCACCAGCACCACAGGAGAAGGGTGCCCTTAGCGCCTGGCCATTTGGACCCAGTGTGGCCATCACAGCACTCCTTAGGAATGTGTCATCTATTGTATGACACTCTCTATCCAGTGCAGTGTGTGACAGCATATTAAGGACTGCTATTTCAATTACTATGAATAATAGAGCAGCCTGGGGAACTGACTGCCTCTCAGGCCCTGGAACGAGGAAGCCACAGTGTTGACATTCACACACCTTACAAAGTCAGGGACAGAGCTGGATGGGGGCGAAGAGAGGTGGTGGGTGCTCCACGGGTGAGGAGGTGGGTGCTCCTTGAGTGAGGACCTGGGTGCTCCTTGCATGAAGAGGTAGGTGCTCCTTGAGTGAGGACCTGAGTGCTCCTCGGGTGAGGAGGGGGGTGTTCCTTGGGTGAGGACCTGGGTGCTCCTTGCATGAGGAGGCAGGTGCTCCCTGGGTGAGGACCTGGGTGCTCCTCGGGTGAGGACCTGGGTGCTCCTTGCATGAAGAGGTAGGTGCTCCTTGAGTGAGGACCTGGGTGCTCCTTGCATGAAGAGGTAGGTGCTCCTTGAGTGAGGACCTGGGTGCTCCTTGCATGAAGAGGTAGGTGCTCCTTGAGTGAGGACCTGGGTGCTCCTCGGGTGAGGAGGTGGGTGCTCCTTGAGTGAGGACCTGGGTGCTCCTTGCATGAAGAGGTAGGTGCTCCTTGCATGAAGAGGTAGGTGCTCCTTGAGTGAGGACCTGGGTGCTCCTCGGGTGAGGAGGTGGGTGCTCCTTGAGTGAGGACCTGGGTGCTCCTCGGGTGAGGAGGTGGGTGCTCCTTGAGTGAGGACCTGGCTGCTCACTGCATGAGGAGGTTGGTGCTCCCTGGGTAAAGAAGTAGGTGCTCCTTGGGTGAGGAGGTGGGTGCTCCTTGAGTTGGGATCAGGTGCTCCTTGAATGAGGACCTGGGTGTTCCTTTCATGAGGAGGTAGGTGCTCCTTGAGTGAGGAGGCGAGGACCCAGATGCTCTTTGCATGAGGATGTGGGTGCTCCCGGGGTGAGGACGCAGATGTCTTTGGGTGTGGCTGTCTCCTGCAGACATAGCCACTGTCCTCTGTGTGCTCTGGATCTGTGCTGCAGCATTAATGGTTGTAAAGCCTGTCCATCCTTCAGTCTCTCTGGAGGCCAGCTGTGTGTGAGGCACATGTCACAGTCAGACATGTGGGGGCCCCCGCTGGCCCAGGTCACTCCCTGAGGCAGGGGTGCTGAGAGTGGGCCCAGGCCCAGAGATGGCAGAGGCCACTTAGGGCAGATGTGGCTGCAGAGAGCGGGGTGGACAGTGCCGGAAGGTGCATCTCCACTCCTTTTTTCTGAGACTTTCTGGGAGGTTGTCAGGGAGACTGCCAGGATGGCCTTCCCACCACCAGGATGGCATTCCCGCCGCCAGGAGGGCAGTCCCGCCGCCAGGAGGGCAGTCCCGCCGCCAGGATGGCAGTCCCATCACTACGAGCACAACGTTTTCCATTTCTCTATTCCATTTTGTCATTTTTTTCCTCACTCTCCTCCTTAGGATCCTGCCAGACAATTTCGCCTTTGAAAGAAGGGCCATGTTCATAAACTGGGGCGAGCCTTCAGGCCTCTCGGGGTCCTCCAAGCAGAAGGGGGACTGGGAGTGGACTGCGCAGGGGTTGAGAGCAGGGGCTTTGTGGCCAGAGGGCTGTGGGGAAAGCCCAGATCGGCCTCCAGGGACGCGTGACTCCGGGCCTGTTACTTAACCTTGCTGTGCCTCAGTTTCCTCACTTGCAAAGCAGGGACATTGTGTGCCAGCTTGCTGTGAGATCTCCTCAGTTTGCTGCATGCGGTGCTCGGGTCAGGTGGCTCACAGCGGGTGTCCAGAAAGCCGCAACACTTTGGGCTGTTTCCTCCCCTGCGCAAAGCTCCCTGAGTCAGCTTGCTCTCAGGGGCACAAGTGTAAGGCTGAAATAAACGCCAGTAGAGCGGGGCGGGGTGGAGGGGGGGGTGGGGGGCAGCAAGTTGGTGGAGCGCAAGGCTCCCCTCCGTGCTCAGATGAGGAAACTGAGGCAGAAGTGGGCCCTTCTATGCAACAACTGAAGGGTGTGATATGGAGGGACAGAGCAAACGGGAAGACTGCCTGCCTGGGCTCCTCACTCAGCTCCCTGGGCTGTCAGCTGCCCTGTAAAGGGGGATGATACTATAGTAATAATAGTCAGGAAGTGGCTTCTGAGAAACGCAGGCTCCTCCTTTCAGCACAAATTTGCTGAACACCTAGTTGGGTCTAAGCCTCTGTTGAGCCCTGGCAACAAGCAGGGAAGAGTCTGCGGCCTGGGGGAGCCCAGGGTCCTGCAGTACAGACGGGCAGGAAGCCAGCAACAGTGGCCCCAGGCAATTGGCACCAGGAAGCAGAGGGCAGGGGCCACAGGGAGGACTGTGACCTCCCCCACGAGGATGCCAGGACCCAGGCCGGGAGGCAGGGCCATGTGAGCGACCACCACCACTGGGGAGAAGAAAGCTCCTTCCTGCTGCTCAGCCCAGAACGCCCTGCCTTGTGTGTGCTGGGGTGAAATCTGCAGGGAGCTGCTCCTGGTCAGAGCTCCGGCTTCTCTACACCTTCCCGGCTGGGAGCACTTCCCTGCCTCCTGCATTCCGCAGCTGCCTCAGCTGTAAAGCAACGGGGTAAGAGGACATCCGCTCCATGGCATGGTTGAAAGGTCTCCCTGAAATCACAGGGGTGATTCTAGGCAGGGGAGAGGGACCGAAGTTTGTCGGGAGTCTCAAGACGTAGAGACCTTCCAGAAAGGCTCCTCCCTCTTATGCTGGCACCGTGCAGGCCCTGAATAAATGTCTGTGAGTGTCTGTAACTGTGTTTGGTCCGTGCCTGTGAGGGCGCGGGGAGTTGGGCGGTGTGACTGCAGTAACAGCGCTGAGAGGTAGTGAGCTCCTGGTCAGGGGAGGCATTCAATGGGAATGTGAGTAATCTCCAGCCCCGCCTGGCTGGAGCACAAACCAGATGGTCTCCAAGGGCCCCCTCCCTCCACAGCCTGTGAGTCCACAAGTCTAAGATTTGGGAATTCTCAGGTACAAGACTGCTGATTCCCCAACATGGATTAAACACTTCCTGTGTGCACCCTGGTGGGGGAAAGCAGATATCCTTCCTGCACAGGTGCAGGGACACCCAGAAGAGTGGCAGACCTGTCGGGAGGAGACCACTGACATGTCTAAGATTCTGAGTCTGTGAGTTTAAGATTCTATAATATGAATATCCTATTACCATTATGGCTCATAACAGTGGTTACTCCTTATTGAGCACCTACTGTATGCTATGGTGTGTGGCCTGTTCTGGGGGCGGCCTTTAAATTATTTACTCAACCCTTTCAGAGTGAGAGGGGTGCTTACATTTCCCCATGTAGAGATGGGGAAACTCAAGCTCAGGAGGGGAGGGCCCAGGGGAGCTAGAATAGAGGAAGGCAGAACTGGTTAGTAGCCCAGGCTGCAACCAAGTTCCTAGTTTTTAAATATAAGACATTAAGACCCCTTAGGTACAAAACTCTATTAGTCCGTGATACTCAGCTTCTGACTATTACTTTAAATTTCCATGGCTTTAAGCTTATTTGGTATGCGAGCCCAGGCTCCTGTGCTTTAAAAGTGCCAGCTCCCAGGCGCTCAGGGCCTCAGTCTGTCTCCCCTGCCACTTCCCTCCTCGGGCCATCACAGGTCCCCCGGGCTATCACGCTTGGCTGTGGGAGCTGGCCAGACCCGGTTAATTGTTATAAAGCACTTAGACACTCGCAGGCGTCAAGAGCCATGTCACACCGACATTATTTCATTACCATTCCTTAGAGACAGAGCCATCAGTGAAGGTCTGAAAACAGGACTCAGGGCCAGCAGCCTGGGCCTCATCCACCTAGGAGCAGCCCTCTAGGGCTGTGGGCAAGTCATTTAACTCCTTTTAAAACTCCCAGCTGGTTGCAGCTCGGGCTTCTAGCCAGCTCCGCCTTCCTTATTCTAGTTCCCCTGGGCCCGCTCCTCCTGAGCCTCAGTTTCCCCATCTCTACATGGGGAAATACAAGCACCCCTCTCACTCTGGGAGGGTTGAGTAGATAATTTACAGGCCGCCCCCAGAACAGGCCACACACCATAGCATACGGTAAGTGCTCAATAAGGAGTAACCACTGTTATGAACCATAATGGTAATAGGATACTCACATTATAGAATCTTGGACTCACAGGCTTAGATGTTCCTGAGAGCAGAGAGAGGCGGGGTGTCCCTGGGCCCAGGGCCCATCCTGGAGCAGCCGGAGGCCATCGGGCCACCCCGCACAGGGCGTCGGGGGACTGCAGGGGGCAAGCTGTTCCCGAGTGCGCCAGACTCCCTGGAGCGTCTTCCAGCACAGGTGGCCTCTGTCCACGTAGGACGCTGAAGGGCTTTGCAGACCCGCAGTGGGCTTTTGTTAATCTCACCCATGACTGCATCTAAAACTGTGTTCAAAGCCGCGGCACCCACCCGGCACCTGGCTAGACAAGCGTGGGTCAGCTCCGTTCATTCCTCCCTGCCTTCGTTCATTCACTCAGTAGATGCTATGGGCCAGCCTTGAGCCAGGCCTCGGTGACAGTGGGGCAGGTGAATGAGTGAGAGCCCTGGCCCCTGGGACCAGCGTCTCTCTGGGGAGTTAAGCCCATGACCATGACTGTGGTCTTTGGAACGAGTGCTAGGGTGGGGTGAAGGGGAGGTGCCCAGCCCGCCTGGTGGAGGCCAGAGGTGGCTCCCAGGGAAGAGGGCGTGTGCCGAGCCCTGCAGATGAAGGGGCGCAGCCAGCAGAGGGGGACACGGGAGGACAGCATGTGCAAGGCCGGAGCCCAGGGACACGTGGCTGCGGTGGCATCCCGCCCGGCCCCCGTGCCTCTGGGTAACGTGTGCGGAGCTCCTTGGAAAAGGTGTCTCCTGCCCACACCACCCTCCCAGCGTCCTGCGCTCAGCCTCACTCTCCCTCAAAACTAAAGAACTGAGTCCCACCCTAGCTGTTTCTCACTTCCCCAGTGAGGCCACAAAGCAAAGCAGACCCCCAAGCCTGGGAACAGGTCTGCAGTGGGCGGGGGGCGGTACTGCAGCCCCCACCGCAGAGCCTCCTTCCCCACTGCCCTGCCCCCTCCCTTCGGCCTCCAGGGAAGCAAAGCACTTTAGAATCATTTTTCCTGCCAGTCTCCAGAGGCTCCTCCCTTCCTCTGGTCCTTTGCAGCCCCAGCGTGGAGCCCCCCACTCCTTCTCCTTCTATTACACGCCTGAAGGGGGCTTCAAAAGCCCTCCAGCACTCCACGATACACCAGGTCTCCCCCAGACCAGGGGCGATGGCCTGGGACCCCTGGAGGTGGGAATCTGAACACGGGGTTCCTTCGAGCTCGGTGCCCTTTGCTGGGGGGTGTGGGGGGCAGGCATTCTTTCTCCCACTGCGCTCTCCCAGAGTCTATTCCATTCCAGGTACCTGGAGATGCTGGGTGAGTCCTACAGAGGGGAGGGGCGGAGGAAGGTAAAACTGTCCCTGGCAATGTGACACACCCTGGCCTCGTCCAGCACTTCTACTATATACACTAAACATAAAATCCTTGGCCCCCCACCTACTGAACGGACCTCCTGGTAACCAAGGGGACCCCAGAAACCCCTGAAAACTGAGTTCTCGGCCGTGATGGGATGGGTGGCCAGCCTCGCCTCATTCTACTCCCCTCCCTTCTGCGGTGTAGACACAACTGCCCAGCATTAATGTTAAAATAGAGGCCATGAGACCAGCAGAACAGACTCTTGGTGGCAATAAGATGCCAAATTATAAACAGGACCTGAGGCCCTGCGGGGCACGGGTTAAGCCATACACGCTTGCACTTAAAGAATAAAAATGCTCTGGCCACAAGGGTTTTCTTTTTCTCCAGCCGCTAAGCAAGCCCTGGCCTGGAGATAAGAAACGTAAAAACAATCACAGCTCATCCAGCTCCAGACACCAGCTAGCTGACCCCCTTCTCCAGCAGCCTAACACCAGCTTTCACTGAGCGAGAGACCATTTCAGGAACTTTCTCCTGATGAGAGACCAGCAACCACGGGCTGCCTCTGGCCGGTTTCCAGAGACTGTGCACTTGCGCCTGAAAAGACCTTTCGATGTATAGGGCCTGACTGTAATACACTTATTTATTTCACTTTTTTATAAAATCAGCTCCTGCAGGAGTTGTAATACATTTAAATGTTAGATCTCCACCTCAATGTGAACACGGGTCATACGTTACGTGCATGTTTCTTCAACATGCATGCAATAGGACCACGTTTGGCAATATCCATACCTCCTCCTATAACCTGTTCCATGTTATAACCTGTGTAGCCAGCCTGGTCAGCAGAAAGCTCCTGCTCCCGCCCCTCCTCCCTCGAAGCACCTGTTTCTCATGCTTCCTGGATGGCCACCTCTCAGGCTGTGACTCGTCAGAAGAAAGTCTCCCTCTCCTTTCCAAATTCATAGATATCATAGGTCTCTTTTTTTTTTTTTTTTTTTTGAGACAAGGTCTCTGTTGCCCAGGCTGGAGTGCAGTGGCACCATCTCAGCTCACTACAATCTCTGCCTCCAGGTTCAACCGATTCTCCTTTCTCAGCCTCCCGAGTAGCTGGGATTACAGGCATGTGCCACCATGCCCAGCTAATTTTTGTATTTTTAGTAGAGAAGAGTTTCACCATGTTGGCCAAGCTGGTCTTGAACTCCTGACCTCAAGTGATCTGCCTGCCTCGGCCTCCCAAAGCGTTGGGATTACAGGCGTGAGCTACCGCACCCGCCGGTTTTTTTTTTTTTTTTTCAGTTAACAAGTAGATCATCTCATTTTGTCAAGATCCCCGGGAGTGGCACGTGCTATGGCTCTGTGGGCCCCTCTCCTCCCTGCCAGCTCTGTGCCCGAAGCCCACCTGCACAGCACCAACAGGCCTTCCCTGAGGCCAGGGGAGTGGAGGGGCCTGCTTGACTCAGGTCCTCCCAAAAGCTCCGACAGCTGTGATGGGGGGCTGCAATCACGTCCTTACCGTGTGCCGGCCAAGGTGGAGGCTGGTGCATTTGGTGCAAGGGCCATGAGGATGAGTGGTAGGAGAGGCAGCCATGGCAGCCAGGGCACCTACGCATGGCCGTTCCTCTCCCGTGTCTCAGTTCTCTGAGGTTCCCTTTGTCCTACACACGTGTCAGATGAGGAACGGAAGCTCAGGGGCCGACGGCTCACTCGGATGTTCCTCGGGCCAAGTACGTGGGGAGGACAGCAGGGGAGGGGGATTTGCTGCCAGGGATGCTCCTGGGGAGCAGGGAAGGGGCCCGTCCTGAGGCTCTGCCAGGCTCTGGGTGGGCAGCTGCCATCATCACCCATGCACAGACCCTGCGCCTCCAGGTGGGGGTCCGGCTAGCTTTGTGCAGGACGCCTGGTCTCCCCAGACCTGCTCCCTCTTCAAATTACTAATCTTAGGAAATGACGATTCTAGTTCTAGAAATTCTCGCCTTTTTTGGTACTAAAATCTGGTTTCCTGGAATGCAGTGCTCTGCTGGTTTTCTCTAATGCCATGCATCATGCTGGGGCTGCCAGCCTTTGGGCACTGACTGTGCCAGGGGCTGCTGCAGGCTACACCCATCCCATGTGGGCTTTGCAATGACCCAGTGCAGATGAGGAAACCGAGGCTCTGAGAGGTTGTGGGGGATGCGAGGCCTGGATCAGGGCAGGTGTGGAGACAAGGGGCTGGGGGCTGGAGGAAGACAGGGCCAGGGGAGGTGACTTACATATAGGCACCAGGGGATGAGAGTGGTGCTCGTTCGTTCATCTTGCATTCACTCATGCAACAAACACTCACTAAGGACCTCCTGAGTACCGAGTGCTCACTGGGTGCCCCCTGAGTACTGAGCGCTCACCGGGTACCCCCTGAGTACTGAGCGATCACCGGGTACCCCCTGAGTACTGAGCACTCACCAGGTACCTTCTGAGTACCGAGCGCTCTCTGGGTACCCCCTGAGTACTGAGCGCTCACCGGGTACCCCCTGAGTACTGAGTGCTCACCGGGTACCCCCTGAGTACTGAACAATCACCAGGTACCCCCTGAATACTGAGCAATCACTGGGTATGCCCTGAGTACTGAGCACCCACTGGGTATCCCCTGAGTACTGAGCATCCCCTGAGTACTGAGCACTCACCGGGTACCCCCTGAGTACTGAGCGATCACTGGTTACCCCCTGAGTACTGAGCGATCACTGGGTACCCCCTGAGTACTGAGTGATCACTGGGTACCCCCTGAGTACTGAGCACTCACCGGGTACCCCCTGAGCACTGAGCGATCACTGGTTACCCACTGAGTACTGGGTGATCACTGGGTACCCCCTGAGTACTGAGTGATCACTGGGTACCCCCTGGAAACTGAACACTCACCAGGTACCCCCTGAGTACTGAGCGATCACCAGGTACCCCCTGAGTACTGAGCACTCACTGGGTATCCCCTGAGTACTGAGCATTCACCAGGCACCTGCTGTGCGCTGAGAACCAGCCCCCACAATGCAGAGGATGTGGCCCTGTCCTCAGGGCACTCAGCCTCCGTGGGTGGCATCTGACTGAACAAATCTGGCCGTGCCGTCTGGCTGTTCCAAGCATGGAGCTTCAGGAAGGTGGAGTGAGTCACTCTGCCTGGAGAGTGAGATCAGGGAGGATTCCCAGGACAGGGGCAAGTCCATTTTCAGAGGGGTCTGAGAACACGTATGGCCTCAAAGGAGGCCAGAGCAGGAGGTGGGAGCTGAGCATGCACAGCAGCAGAGGAGGGACTGGCGGCTGGAAAAATGGCAGCTCATCCAGAATCTTCCACTGATGCCCCTGCTGCCAGTCCCAGGTCCTACCAGAGACCCTCCCTGGGCCCAAGCTGACCACTGACCATCTCCCTGTGTCCTGAGGGCCAAGGAGGCAGCCCGACCTCCATCGTCATGTCCACAGCCCACAGCCCCAACACCTGGTGGGGACTCGGGGACACACTTAGGCCTGGCAGCCCCCATGAAGGCCCCCATCAAGGCCCCCTTGAGGACGTGGAAATCCTTGCACAGTCACCATCAAGCCCCTCCCCAGCTCCAGCACTGGTGGAGATCACACGAGTCCTTTGTCAGTGTGATTGGAAAGTGAATGGGTCAGGTTGCCCCAGCCTCATTTCAGAGGACTCTGGTGAAACAAGAACCCCCCAGCAGCTGTGATGGGGGCTGCAATTGCATCCCTATTGTGTGCCAGCAAAGGAGGGGGCTGGTGCAGTTGGTATGAGGGTCCTGAGGCTGAGCGGCGGGAAGTGCAGTACCAGCTACGCCACTGCATCCCACCCATTGGAACACACTGCACAGAGCAGGCCTTTCATAATTTTTTTTAAAAAGTTTGCCTTTTCTAGATGTGATGACGGAATGGTTAGATGAGGTACCTGAGCTCACAGAATGCCCACGGCCTCACCAGCAGGCACTCAGCTGCCGGCTCAGCCACAGCTCAGCCCTGACCGCCTGCTGCTAACCACCCTGCTCTTCAGCACAGACTGGAGCAGCTGCCATCACAGCTTTGCCCGGATGCGGATGTGAGCCACCTTGAATTAACATCGGGTTGGTCTGTGCCCTGAACCAGCTGTCAGTTGTCCTGGGCTCTGCTGATGCCTCTCTGACCAGGGGCCACAGGGACAAGAGAGGATGGGGCAGGGGCGAGAGGCAGGCCGGGTGGGCAGAAACCGGTCTGTACCCTCAGTGGGAGCCACAGCTCAGAACCTTCACTCCTCTGATTCTCATCTGAAAAATGGGGCGCATCCTGTCTGCTCCCCGAATCGTGTGAGGGGCAGGATGTCATCAGTTTTGGGGGTAGAGCTGGGACTGCCCGGCTGTGAGCTTCTAGGACTGTCAGCTCAGAGACCAGCAGGGCGGGAGGAATCCCTCGATGACATCAGCAAGCGCAGTGAGGAGCAGACTGGAAGGGAGGGTTTGGCCCAAAAGAACCCTGTGTCCCACTGTGCATCTCTAGCCCCTCCCTTGCATTGTACAGTGAGCACCTGTACACGCACTGCCCAGGTGAAGAATGAGGCACTCACCCAACCCAGGAGTACCCCTCCCCGTGCCCTCCCTGACCTCTGACCCTGCCCCCTGCCCCCTGTGTTCAGCCCTGGCCTCTGAGCGATGAGGAGGCAGGCTCCCATCCAGCTACTGAACCTCACTCTTGGGACCTTCCTCGCTGGGCGGAGTGGAGGAGGTGGGGCCAGGATCCACCCCCAGTGCCTTGACCACCTGCACGCTGCCTAGGCAGGTCTCCTGTCTCTGCTGACTTTTCTCAGTGCTGTTCATTCGTTATGTTCCGTAAACATTTATAGGACAACAACCCCGGTCCATGTCCCAGGCCCTCAAGGATGGGAGAGTCACCCTCCACCCATGCTGGGTTTGAGGGAAGGAGCCCACCACCAAGTTCCCGGGGCAGAATGGACAGGGCACCCTGAGCAGGTGCTGCAGAGGCGAGGGCCACAGCCGGCTTCTCCTGCACCTCGGGCCAGGAGCCAGGGTGGACTCTGGAGCTAGGCTGACCCCAGCTGACGTCCAGCCCCACCTCTGCAGGCGCAGCCCTGGGAGTCAGCCCCAGCCCTGCCTTCCTTGTCCACCCTACAGTGACCACAGCTGCTGAAATCTCACTGTGTGGCCACTGCCCTCGCTGGTCTGCTTCCCACCCAGGCCTTTGGGGATGCTGGCCACGTGTGTGGCATGGGTCGTGGCCAGCACAGTCCCACGTGGAGTGCAGAGCCAGTGGCAGGGGCAGCATCTGGTGCCGAGGTTCAGAGAAGCCTGGGAGCATTTGGGGCCGCTCCTCTGGCAGCTGGACACGCCTCCTGGCCGGCCCGGGGACAATAATTAAGAATCAGGTTTCCCTCAAAAGGCTGTATTGCTGGGAGGGGTTATAAATCAAGATGACATTTTTATCACAGAGCAAAAATTAATTATTTAACATGGGACATGTTTGTGCTCTCTTAACTGCCAGCAGGGTGGCTTGACTCGGGGTGGCCAGACGGTTCCAGCGCTGCAGGAATGGCTGCAGGAACGGCCCTCTCAGGGCTCTTGATGCAAGGGGGAAACTGAGGCCCAGAGAGGGGAAGGGGCCTGTCTAGGGTCTCACTGCCATTCATAGCAACTCTTCTGGCCCTGGAGCTCTCTGCCGACTATGCTGGAAGCCAGGTCCACCCAACCCCATCCATGAAGGGCGCCCGCATTGTGCAGGCAGCAAAGCCAGTGGGTGGATGGTGGTGGGGTCGAGGCTTGGTTCGGGGGAGGCCCCAGCCCTGTGCTCCACACCTGCGCCTGTGCCAGCCACAATGTGCCCATCCCTTTCTCTCCTTCGTCCCCATGGCCCTTCAGAAAGCCCAGCCAGCTGGGTCCTGCTGCGGGGCCCATCAGGAAGGGGCGGCCACGGCTCCCTCCGGCTAGCTCAGGTCTGGCATTTCCCAGGAATGGGAGGTGGCCCTTGGGGGTGTGGGCCTGGGGGCGTGGGGTAGTCAGCATCTCCTGGAGGAACGTGGGTCCCCATCCCACGAGCTTCCAGCCCTCCTTCCTCCAGGAACTGTGGCCTCCTTCTCCCAGCCACCCCTGCCCTGGGTGCAGAAACACTTGGAGCGTGGAGATGAATTCCTGCAGGCCCCTGGTGGCTGACTGCAGAGGGAGCCCACCCGATCATCATCCTGTGGCCGGAGGGACCCCAGGACCCTCTGAAACGGGGTTGTCCCAGCAAGATGGGAGGGGTCCCAGCACCTGCTGCTCGCTGAGTCATTCACTGATATGTGCCGTCAGAGTTCTCAGAGCCACCGGGCAACAGAGCAGACGAGGGTCTCACTGCCAGCGGAGCGGGCGCCTGAGCAGACGCTCTAGATGGGGACACTGTTGCCCCCTGAATGGCTCCTCTGTCTCCCCAGTGGTCCATCTCTTTCTCTCTTGCCCTTTCCTCTCCCTGTGCCCATCCATTACCAGCCTGACCCTGGGCTCTGAGCCTGTGTGTGGCCAGCCATGGGGCCACAGAGTACAGTGGGAACCAGGCGGAAGTTCCCCCTGAGGGGCTGCTGGGCTGGGTTTGGGGCCAGCAAAGGTGTGGCAGGGTGACCAGGCTAGGGCCACCAAGCGGGGAGATGGTGGGGAGGGCTGGTCTTTGGGCAGAAAGAGTGACAGGCACTCACTTGCCACTGGGCCTGAGCTGCGGGACCCCCGGTCTGGGTGAAGGTGGGGAGACCAGCATCCTGAGCTGGGCCCCAGCCCATCTTCCTCCTGGGACCTTGTGTCCTCATCTGTTAAATGGGGTCACCCCTCTATCATGGACACATTGTGGGTGTGGCCCATACGATGGCCACTGGACAGCTCCCGTGGGTGGGAGCCCTGAACCAGGCCTTGGGAGACGCTGGCTGACTAGCTTCCCATTCCCGGCATGCCAGGAGGAGGGAGCAGAGCTTTCGGAGGCCTCTTCGTCCGCACTGAGCTCCAGGTTGGCCCAGGGCTCCGGGAGGCAGCTGGCCTAGGGGTTCGTAGAGGATGGCATCCTCCCCACAGCTGCTCTTGCCTGTAAGTGGGCCCTGTGGGCAGCCTCTTAGGCCTGATCGTGAGCTCTGCCCCCTTCCGCCAGCCCCATCCACAACCCCCAGACTCTCTACCCTTCACCCCACACTCAGGCCTCGCTCGGGACAAGGAAGCTGGGGCTACCCCTCAGCACCCTCCCCCCCAACTGAACCCCAGGAGAGGGGCTGTCAGGGCCCCTCAGGGAGCCTCTCCACCTCCAGGAACCAGAAATGAAGCCCCATGGGCAGCTCCACGAAAGGACAGCTGCAGGCTCCCGTGAGCCCGGCACTCACACAGAGCACACAGGAGGGAAGGCCCAGGGCTCCATGCATGCAGGAAGGGCAGCACCCTGCAGCGGGACAGCCAGGTGCGAGGGCACAATCCTGCTCCTCGGGCTTGCTGGGCGCTGCGGGGCAGAGGTGGGAGCTCAGGCTTCACAGAGAGGTGGGAAGGTTCAGATGCCAGTGCCTCCACTGCTGTGAAGGGATCCAAGGAGGTCACTGTGCTGGGTGGGCCCAGGCAGGTCACTGACCTCTCTGGGACTGGGTTGCTTCCTCCATAAATGCAGGTTATCACAGTGCTCTGCAACCTGAGAGTCAGAAGAGGACAGGGACAACCCAGCACAGCACCCGGTACAGAAGAGGATGGGGACAACCTAGCGCAGCACCCAGTACAGAAGAAGATGGGGACAACCTAGCACAGCACCCGGTACAGGGTGAGGTCCACAGATGCTGATTGAGGCCAGCAACCGTGCCCCTGGCACCCCCAGCCCCGGGACAGAGCAGCAAGGAAACAGGGCCACAGGCAGGGCTCTTGATCCTCGTGGGCGGCATCCTCGCCTCCCGTGGTGAGGGTAGGGGGGGCGTGCGGCAGCAGGAGCACAGGCCTGGGGTCATGGTGCTGCAGCATGGCCGCAGCTGACAGACGGGCAGGCACCAGAGGGTGGTAAGGTAGAGTGACTGGGTCAGCAGGGCCTGAGTGCCCAGCAGAGTGGACTTTATCTGGAAGTCAGGGGTGGGATGCAATCAGGTCTGATCTTCAGAAAGGCCACTTGGCCAAGGGCGGGGACAGATCAGAGAGGGGGAACTGGAGTAGGGAGGAGGGAGTGGAAGGGAGGACTGGGGTGGGCAGAGGCCAGTGGTCAGGAGGGGAGAGCCAAAGCAGCTATAAGGGTGCAACCTGGAGGGCTGCATGGAAGAAGTGCCATTTCCACCCTCAACTTGTGGGAGTCCTTGCCTTGTTCATTGCTGTGCCAAGGGTGGGGGCCATGTTGGGCATGGAGGTGGGCAGAAGAGATGGGGCCTGCCACCCACCAGGGCACTACAGAGCAGAGCACAGCCCCGGAACTGCACAGCTTTGAAGCTCCCAGCCCCTGGTGAGAGGGGCAAGCGGGGCCCCTGTCCAGAGATGAGAAAACTGAGGCTCAGCCCATCTCTGCCTCCCCAAAGTGGGGCTTCTGGAAGCCAGCATGGGAGCATCCGGGCAGAATCTGCACACGGCATGGCCTTGCCCTGTGGCTGGAAGCCCCCGAGTCGGTTTCTTCATCTTTAAAATGAGGTCACATCCTCACCTCCCTCCCTCCCTCCCGGGGATGGGAGGTGCGATTGGAGGGTACAAACTGTAGAGTGTCCTGCACCCAGGCAGTCGATGCCACCCACCTGGTGTCCATGGTGATGGATGCCAGCTGGCCTTTTCGAGTGACTTCAAGCTTCCTTGAAGGGAGGAGAAAACACCTGCGTTTGCCTGGCGCTCTGATGTCTGGAGGCCCAGGCAGGGCCCAGGGCTCCCTGCCGCACGGACAGTCACGGGGGTGCTGAGACGGGCCCCTCACCGTGTCGCAGAGGCCCTAGTTGCAATCAGGTATTAATATTTCCAACACAGATATTTACAAACCTCTCCAGAGACTGCACTGATGGACTATTGGCGATCATGCTCGGCTAAAAAGAGTATATTGATCCGGGGAAAAAAGAGGTCACTTCTTTTTAAACCCAAACCTATAAAACACTGAAATCCATCAACCCCCAGTTCCCGGGCTGCAGAGTGACATCCAACCCCGGCTGCGGTCTCCCTGGCCTGGTCAATACAGCTCCATTAGGGGCCGCTCGCCTCGTCCCCACCCAGGCCCTGTCCAACCCTGTGGCTGTCCAGATTAATATGCACCCCAGCTCTTTAATTCTCTGTCCATTAGTGTCACATTGCCAGCTGACCGGCTTGGCTATTGATCTTGAGGAAAGCCCGCTCAGAGGGTCCGGGCCCTGCGAGGTCAGTGGGGGACACCGTGACAACTTTTGCCGGCCCGAGGGCAGAAGCTACCAAGTTTCCTGGAGTCCGTCCTTCTGTGCACAGAATCTGGTGCCTCCAGAGCTGGCCGCAGGAAGGCCAAGGGGCCTCGCACGTGAGCCAGACCGAGGTCCTCCAGGCCCCTGTTACTCACCATAGCTCAGAGACACCCGCGGACCCTGGGCTGCACCATCCAGGGCCTGGGTCCCACCTCAGGACATGGGGGCCCAGGAGGGGCCGGGGGCTCAACATGTTGAGCATCTTCTCATGCCAGGCACCAGAGAGGCCCCTGATCCCTGCCCCCTTTTCCAGTTGAGAGGCTGAAGTTTCCGAGCATTTGAGTCCCCATGAAGGTCACCCAGCAGGTGAGTGAGTGAGGTGGATTTCACTGCCCCCGCCAGCCCATACGCTTTCCACCTCATGATGAACAAAACAAGGGAGGTGCAAAAGACAGAGCGAGGCCACCAGAGACAGGCGGGCACCAGGGGCGAGGCCACCAGAGATGGGCACCCACACTGCCCCTGGATGAAGGAAGCACCAGGTGCCGCCCAGCAGGGCTCGGTGGAGAGGTGGGGCCAAGGGAGCCACGCGGCTGCTGCGTGGGGAGGGTGACGAGGCTGCACACAGAGGAGCCCGGGCCCCCTCTTGGAGGGAGTAGGGGCATGATGGTGCCTCCCAGGGGCTTCTAGTCTGCGTGTGAGGCAGAGGACAGCCTGGATGGGAGGAAGGAGTCCTCAGGACCAGCCAGGGCCATCCAGGGGAGATATGGCAGAGCCCAGACCAGGGCTATCCAGGGGGGACATGGCAGAGCCCAGACCAGAGCCTGGGGCCGGTGAGGATGGAGCAAAATGGTCCTCAACAACCACAGAGCAGCAGACCTGCCGGTGACCCACAAGGGTGGCAGGCGCCATCCCCACGCCCACCCCCTCCCTGTTCTGCACTTTGTCCCTGATGTTACAAACCCCCAGCCAGCAGGGCAATGTCAGAGGTCATGAGAACTCCTCAGGTGCACGCGTGGGGGTTCCTCTGGGGGCAGCAAGGGAGTTGGGAGGAGGCAGTGTGGGAGCCCACGGCCCAGGTGGGACCCAGGCTCTGCCTCCTGTCACTGTGGGAGAAGCCTTGGGCACATGCACAGAGCTCTCTGAGCCTCAATTTCCTCATCTGTAAAATGGGGATAAACACGCTGACCCCTCCCAGGCAGGGAGGGCTACAAAGAGGCAGACAGACAGCAGGGACCCCACCAGAGCTGCTCCCCCAGACCCTCCACCCACCCTTCCCACAAATGCTGTGGTGGAAATTCCTTGACGGCACGGACACTTTGCATTTTTCTCCCGCATTGAAGTGAGTTCTAATCCCTGTGTCACTGTGCAATCGTCTCGAATTTTATCACATTTTCTCATCTGAAAATGATCTCAGCGCTGTGGTGTAGGTTGGAGGAAGCAATTGGGTTGACTGTGAGCGAAGGGGGCCGGCATCTCCAGCTGAAACCACTCCCTGTCCAGCACCCTGCCAGGGCCCAGCCCCTGGCCCCCACCGGGTAAAGGCTTATTGAGAAGTGAACTGAACCCTGAAAAGGAGCGGCAGGAGCTGGGGAGGAGAGCTGGGTAGGGGGCGTCCACCTGGAGGGTGGACGCTGCCCGCCGGCTCTGCCTTGGGGAAGAGGAAGCCACCATGAGCCAGCACGTAGACAGCTTGGCTTCCAAGAACACTGCTGTCACCTGTGGGGAGGACGTCCCTGTGGGTGTATAGTGTCCCCCAAACCCATGTCCACCCACAGCCTCAGAGTGTGCCCTCATTTGAGCACAAGGTCTTTGCCAATGTAGTTAGTTAGGTTGAGATTAGTTCACTCTGGATCAGGGTGGGCCTAAATCCGATGCCTGGTGTCTTCATGAGAAGAGGACGGGACACAAGCACACGGGGACACAGAGGGCTGAAGGAGCTGCAAGCATGGAGGCAGAGACCACAGGGACACAGCCACAAGCCAAGGATGACGGAGGACCGCCGAAGCCAGCAGGAGCCGGAGAGAGGCCGGAACGATGCTCCCTCCCAGCCACGGGAGGAGCCTGCCCTGCCCACACCTGGATCTCAGGCTTCTGGCCTCCGGGGCTGTGAAGCAGTAATGTGCTGCGGTTTGAAGGCCCCAGTTGGTGGTCCTTTGCTTTGGCAGCCCCAGGACACTGGTCCTAACCCCAGAGCTTGGGGCCTGCCCTCCCGGCCAGCCGTCTTGAGTGATCCACTCCAAGAAGCCTAGGAGGGGCTAACCCTACTGCTTATGCTTGGAGCTGTGCCAAGTTCCAGGAGAAAACCACGTGCAGTGGAGAGGGGACACATCCAGGGCCCCGAGGTGAAGAATCTGTGTTTAGCTGTTCCTGAAACCAGCAGAGCCCTGGGAGCCCAGGCATCCCCTATGAATCCCGCACGGGAGGCCCAGCAGACGCCACTGCCGGTCGCCTTGGGGTGTGGGTTGGCCATGTCCTCCCTCACATCCCTGGGGCTGATGGAACACAGGCAGCTTGGAGGGCCGTGCCCCTGCTCTGATCAGCCCAGGAAGACAGCAGCCAGGTCCCCACCACACAAGGCCACCTGGGCCTCGAAAGTGAATCCCAGCAACACCAGCCCCAGCCCACCCTGAGGCCAAGGCAGACAAACACTCGAGAGATGGGTGCCAGCCACAGCATGCCCACTGCCGCAGCGCCCACTGTCTGCAGCCCCTCAGGCGGGACCGGGCCAAGGCTGATGCAGCCAAGGCGGGGAAACCCGACCATGCAGAACTCGGCTCTTCAGCAGTCTCGCTTATCCAGGGCTCTATTTTAAACTCAGAAGGGGTCAGAAAGGTTTTCTGGGTTGCCAGCCTACACGTCCGAAGCTCCTGTACTAACAGCTACTCAAAGTGCTCATGCAGATCCTGCCACTTGTTACCCCAGGATATAGTGACCTGTTTCAGAGCACAGAGCAGGTGAAACCGCTAAATGTGAAAAGGAAGAGGATCTTGCTCAAGATACAGGTGAAAGAGTAGCCACCGCCTGCCAGCAAAGAAAATGCAGACGGAGGTGCAGGAACCCTGGCGTCCGCCTGGCCCTCTGGTGCAGGAACCAGCCTTCCACATACATCAGCAGCCCGGGCGCCATCCTCCAGGGCCTTTGTCACCTGGGAAGGATTTATCTACAGTCCTAGGCTGGAGGCTGCAGAAATGGAGATGATTCTGGAAACTCTCCTGCCCTCAAGGGGTTCTCTGCTTATGTAATAAAACATTTGATGATGGTGTAATGACTGAGGTACAAATTGGCTGCTGTTTCAGAGGCTTAAACACCGTAGGGCCAGGAGATCAGAGCTCGACAGGCAGCCCCTCCCCGACGTGGTCAAATGCATTGCCACTCTGCGAGGTTTCTGGGGACAGCCCTCATCCACTCTGCACTCGAGGGAGTTAAGGGAAGGAGAGAGGCTGACCTTCCCCCTGCAGGCCCAGCCCCAAAGTGCTGCCCCCAGCACTCGCATCCCACACCCTGGCACGTGGTATCCTGGCCACACTTGGCTGTAACGGAGGCTGGGAAATGCAAGCTTTTTTCGGGTGCCTGAGAGATACAAATCAGAAGTTCTATCGCTGTTAAAGAACAAGAGAACAAATACCGGGGTTGGATCGGAGTCGCTGCCACTGCAGGCCTACACGATGCCAACAAGGGACAGATCTCTCTAGAGGGACAGACTGGCCTGAATGCATGCCTCTCCTCCAGGTTCCTGCCCCCAAGAGCTGCCCCACTGCCCGGTGCTCAGGGAACTGCGGGCTCGAGGCGTGTAGTTGGTGGCATCAAGATCTGTGCACACCTGCTCTACCTGCCCCAGCCCAGGGACCAGCAGTAAAGAGGCTGGCTTGGATGAGGTGGTGTGGGTACAGCTGGGGCCCAGAGACTGCAATGGGACGGCGATTGACCAACTCCATCATGAAAGGGTTTGGGCCATGATGGCTGCACAACACGGGGATGTAATCAATGCCACTGAAACATACACTTAAAAACGGTCGCCAGGCGAGGTGGCTCACACCTGTAACCCCAGCATTTTGGGAGGCTGAGGTGGGTGGATCACCTGAGGTCAGGAGTTTGAGACCAGCTTGGTCATCATGGCAAAACCCCATCTCTACTAAAAACACAAAACTTAGCTAGATATGGTGGTGGGTGCCTGTAATCCCAGCCACTTGGGAGGCTGAGGCAGGAGAATTGCTTGAACCCAGGAGGTGGAAGCTGCAGTGAGCTGAGATCACACCACTGAACTCCAGCCTGGGTGACAGAGTGAGACCCCGTCTCAAAAAAAAAAAAAACAAAAAAGGTTAAAACTGCAAACTATATAGATGTAATCACACACACACAAGTGGAAAACACCAGTATGGTTGTCTGGTGGAGGGCACCCACCTCCCCAGGAGAGGGCTGCTGGGAAATGGTGTGGTGGGCATTTGTGGGTGGGGGTCTCTGTCCCTAGGGCAGAGCTGGAGTCATCAGGAGACCGGCAGCAGTTAGTGGAAGGAGGCCTGGGGAAGTGGCTCCAGCACCGGGCAGGAGGCAGGAGATGAGAGCAGGGAGGGGCCAGGGCTCCGAGTGCAACCGTGCCAGCGCCAGGCCCGTGGGGATATCTCCAGGCCTTGCCTCATGCCTCCCTCTGGAGCTGGCACTGGCACTCCCATCCCACAGATGAGGAAACTGAGGCTCAGAGAGGCAGAGTGACTTCGGCAAAGCCATGCCGGCAGCAGGACTCATTTATTTCCTGGCCCCTCGTGGGGCTCTTCCTTCTCCTTCTCACAGAGTATCTGGGTCCTCAGCCCAGGAATCCCATGAGGCCGGACAGCATCCTCCCAAAACGGAACTCAGTCCCCTGTCTCCTGTAACCAAAGGAAGCCACGGGGCCAGAGGAGTCCGGCCTTTCCAGATCTCGCCTGCCGTGGTCCTGTCACAAGGAGGATGCTTGCTGGCCAAGCAGGCAGAGGTAGAGACAGAGGCCCGCAGGCCGGGAGGAGGGAGAGGTAGAGGCCCACAGACCAGGAGGAGGGAGAGATGGAGGCCCACAGGCCAGGAGGAGGGAGAGACAGAGGACCACAGGCTGGGAGGAGGGAGAGGCGGAGCCCACAGAGCGGGGGAGGGAGAGGCGGAGGCCCACAGGCCGGGAGGAGGGAGAGATGGAGGCCCACATGCCAGAAGGAGGGAGAGACAGAGGACCATAGGCCAGGAGGAGGGACAGGTGGAAGCCCACAGACCGGGAGGAGGGAGAGATGGAGGCCCATAAACTGGGAGGAGGGAGAAACAGAGGCCCACAGACCGGGAGGAGGGAGACATGGAGGCCCACAAACGGGGAGAAGGGAGAGGCGGAGGTCCACATGCCGGGAGGAGGGAGAGGCAGAGACCCGCAGGCTGGGGGGAGGGAGAGGTGGAGGCCCACAGGCCAGGAGGAGGGAGAGCCGGAAGCCCACAGGCCGGGAGGAGGGAGAGACAGAGGCCCACAGGCCAGGAGGAGGGAGAGGAGGAAGCCCACAAACCAGGAGGAGGGAGAGATGGAGGCCCACAGACCAGGAGAAGGGAGAGGCAGAGGCCTGCAGGCTGGGAGGAGGGAGAGATGGAGGCCTGCAGGCTGGGAGGAGGGAGAGATGGAGGCCTGAAGGCTGGGAGGAGGGAGAGGCAGAGGCCCGCAGGCTGGGAGGAGGGAGAGATGGAGGCCTACAGGCCGGGAGGAGGGAGAGGCGGAGGCCTGCAGGCGGGGAGGCTTTTCTCCCCACCTCGGCATCTCCAGATAATGGTGATGATCGTGGCTGTTTGCTGCAGAATTCCCATGTTCCCATCTGGCCTTCCTAAGGACCGAGAATGGGATCGTGAGGAAGGAAGGGAGACTGGGCAGCATGGAGGGGCTGCCAGGCCAGGTGCAGATTGCAGCATCCACGGTGCTCACCTAGGGCTACAGTGGCGGCTGCCTGCGTGCTTCACCTGGGTCCTCAGCCCAGTAATCCCATGAGGCTGGACAGCATCCTCCCAAAACGGAACTCAGTCCCCTGTCTCCTGTCTCCAAAGGAAGGCACGGGGCCAGAGGAGCCCGGCCTCTCCAGATCTCACCTGCCCTGGTCCTGTCACAAGGAGGACGCTTGCTGGCCAAGCAGGCAGAGGTAGAGACAGAGGCCCACAGGCCGGGAGGAGAGAGAGGCGGAGGCCACTCCAGCTGGAGCCCATGTCTTCCTTACTTCAGAGCACAAATTATCTAATAACCCTCCTAGAGCCACAGAGCATGGACCTCTGGGCTTGGCAGTCACTGTTGTGTGCACCTAAATGGCTCCATGTCAAACTTATTTGGCAAATACAGAACAGATTGTCAGTCAACACCCCCTTTCTCTAACGAGAATGTAAAGACACCCCCCACTTCTCGCTTCTGAACACCAGCATGCCATTGCCCCTCCTTGCTTTGTGGCACAGCCTCAGGGTCTTCCTCTGACAGACTGCCTGGCAGCTGAAGCCCCCTCACCCGGGATCGCCGACGCTTGTAACCGATGGATCAATAAGTCTCCCGAGGCCCCCGGGGAGGCCCCCACATCCCTGCTGCCCCTCTCCAGTTGCAGAATTAAAAGGCAAGCTTGTTGTTGGCGTTGTAATGAGCTATGTGCCCGGGGCTCCTGTTACAAGGAGCTGAGAGCCCGTTCCTCCTTAGGCTGGGGTCAGAGGCCTCTTGCTCCTTCCTGAGATGGGTGGGTCTCAGGATGTGGTAGCAGCTGCCACGGGTCCCCTTCCTTCTGCTGGGGACCAGGGTCTAGACACCCAGAGCATCTGAGCTACAAGAGCTCCCTCACCCCTGGGCTCCACGTACAGATGGGAAACCAAGGCCCAGGTGAGGATGAAAGGTTTGCCCTGAGCCCATAGCAGGTAACTGAGTAGTTGTAATTTTATTAACTTTTTTCAAAATTCTTAAAATTCCTAAGCTTAGCACATAAAGTCCTTTATGTAGGAACTGTTGCTTTCCAAGCCATTGGGAATCACTAACTACACACACACACAGCACACAGGTGCACATGCACACACAGCACACAGGTGCACACACATACACACACAGGTGCACATGCACAGCACACAGGTGCACACACATACGCAGGCACACGTGCACACAGCACAAAGGTGCACACACACACGCAGGCACACGTGCACACAGCACACAGGTGCACACACATAGGTACACATGCACACGCAGCACACAGGTGCACACACACATACACACACAGGTACACATGCACACACAGCACACAGGTGCACACACATACACACACAGAGGTGCACATGCACACACAGCACACAGGTGCACATGCACATAGCACACAGGTGCACACATACACATGCCTTCTTCATTCTCACGATTGGATCCCTCACTTCAGTTCTCCAAGGGCCTCTGCCCTGGCCATTCCCTGTGCCTTGAGTACCCTCTCCACTTCATTTGTTCAGCCAATCCCTGCCCTTTCACAAAGCCCAGCTTGGGCATCACCTTCTCTAAAAACGATTTCCTCATCCCCCAACCTCGGCTGGGTGGGGGCCTCCTCTGGGATTCCACAGCATCCATGCTTCCCTCCGTCCCGGCACATTGACCCATGTGGTCAGCCCCTCTGGCTACCCAGCAGAACTGTGACTGCCTCTGGGGCTTGGCCGAAGCTCTGTGGTCCCCAGCCCAGCACACCAGAGTAGCTGCTCAGTGAATACTAAGTGGACACAAAATTCCTCCACTTCCAAAAAAAAAAAAAGAAAAGAAGAAAAAGAACGAAAGAAAAAAATAATAATTCCTCCATTTTCTAAATAAAAAAAAATCCTCCATCTCCCGTCAATCAAACAGTGCTCTCTAACCCAGACATGCTGATCATTGCCTCTTCCACAGGTTTCAACGGAATCATGTACTTTCGCTGACCTGTGAGGCTGGCCCCAAATCCAGTGTCTCAGGTGCACCTGGGTGGGCTGCAAACTTGAAGTCTCTGAGTGCTTCAGGAAAATCCCACGAGAAAGGTGTGTGGTCCCTTCTCTTCTCACAGCCAGGGAAGGGCCAGGGGGCGGGGGGCAGCCAGGAGAGACCTATTTGGGGGACAAGTTGTTGCAAGGCGGACTTAGAGGGACCTCAGAACTCCCACCTGGGCCCGCTTGGTGTTCCGGCTTGGGTCCGGTTTCTCAAAGTTCCCAGGGGTTGGGGAGGAAGGAGGTGTTATTGTTTAGTGGGTGCAGAGCTCTGTTGAGGATCGTGTCAGTCCGGGGTTCTTCAGGGAAATGGAACCGATGGGAGACAGACGTGCACACGCACACACAGAGGGAGACGCACACACACACACACAGAGGGAGATAAACACACGCATGCACACACACAGAGGGAGATAAACACACGCGTGCACACACACAGAGGGAGATGTACACACATACGCGTGCACGCACACACAGAGGGAGACGCACACACACAGGGGGAGATGCACACACATGCTCACACACGCAGAGGGAGACGCACACATACGCACACACGCACAGAGGGAGATGGACACACACACAGGGAGATGCACACACACACACACACAGAGGGAGATGGACACACACAGAGGGAGAGGCACACACATGCTCACACACACACAGAGGGAGGCAGACACACGCGTACACACACACACAGAGGGAGACACACACACACAGGGAGATGGACACACACACAGAGGAAGGCATACACACGTGCACACACACAGAGGGAGACACACACACATACACACAGAGGGAGATGCATGCACACACACAGAGGGAGATGCACACACAGGGAGATGCACACTCACACACAGAGGGAGATGGACACACACACAGGGAGACGCACACACACGTTCACACACACAGAGGGAGGCGCGCACACACATGGAAACCCACACACACATGCACACACACACAGAGACGCACACACGTGCACACACACACAGAGGGAGATGCACACACACACACACAGAGGGAGGCACACACACACATGCACACACACAGAGGGAGAGGCACACACATGTGCACACACACAGAGGAAGACGTGCACATACACACACGTGCACACACACACGTGTGCGCACACACACAGAGATGACATTATTGTAAGGAGTTGGCTTTCTGGAGGCTGGCCAACCCACAGTCAGTAGAGTCAATGTTCCTGCTGGAGTCTGGGGCCAGGCGCTGCTGGAGAGCCATGGTGCGCCGGCCCCACTCACACAGCCAGGCAGGAGAGTGCCCTTTGCCCAGGGAGAGGTGGCCCTCTGTTCCGTGCAGGCCTTCGATGGGTCAGACGCGGCCCACGCACTAGGGGAGGGCGACCTCCTTTACTCAGTCTGCAGGTTCAAATGTGACCCTCATCTGAAAACACCCTCCCAGAAACAGCCAGAATAATGTTTGAACAAAACATTTGGACATCCCATGGCCCGGTCAAGTTGACACATAAAATGGACCAACACAGGGATAATGGAAAGGGCTTGGGGAGAGACAGTGGTGACGAGTACATGGCATGGTGAATGTCTTTAATGCTATTGCTTGTGAATTACAGTGATTAAATGATAAATATTATGTTAGGTATATATTACCACAATTGAGAAAATCACAAGGTAGATATTTAGAGATACCACATCTTACCAGATTTTCTTTTAACGGCTATGATTAGCAAACCCTTTCTGTGAGGTTCAGAACCAGGGTCGACAAACTTTGTAAAGGCCTAGGAGAATCTGTGTTTGCACTCTCTGCTGCACCTGCTCACCTCTGTCCAGGTGTCAGGAAAGCAGCCGAAGGTAACAAGTACAGGAAAACGTCATTTATGAACATGAAAATTTGAATTTCTTATCGTTTTCATGTGTCACAAAATATTTGTCTTCCTCTGATTCTTTTCAGCCTTTAAAAACATAAAAGCCTTTTTTAGATCACCTGTTATACAAAAGCAGACCAGATTCAGCCCGGGGGCTGTTGTTTCCCAACCCCCGATCTAGACAAAGAGCATCTGGGGCCAAGAACACCAAGGTGGGTGCCAACCACAAGCAAACGCAGCCCCAAGGGCTCAGCCAGGCCGGGGCATCCGGGCATCTGGAGTCCAGTCTCACTGCGTGTGCTGCTTAGGAGCAGAGCGCAGGCTTCCCAGGGCTGGGTGGGGATTGGCAGAGGACAAATAGGGGAGGCAGGCACCCAGGAGACCCAGAAATGCCAACCGCCAGGCTGCTCCAAGCAGGGGCACCCCAGCCACCCTGGGGCAGCAGGGCATCCACCCTCTCAACCTACACCCCCAGGTCCGCTCTGCCACCCCAGCAGCCCCACCTAAGCCCTGGCAGTTCCAGCTCCTGCTGGATCCTTGCCTGCTCCCACATCCAGGGAGACACCCTGCTAGAGGCCCACCCCTCCCAGGCCGGCTGCTCCAGAAAAGCCTGTGGGCAACAGACCACGAGGGACCGTTGGGGTTGCCTGGGACTGAGGACTGTCTCAGGGTCCGTGACTTTCAGTGGTGCATCTGGTCACCCTCCATGCCACCCATATGGTCCCAAGGCCCCTGACTGGTCCAATCAGCAGAGGGAGGGGTGGGACGGGAGGGACAGAGGATGCCATCACCCAGTGCCCCTGCAGCCGGCATTGTGCCGGGCACACTTAGCAGCTCAAGAACTAGAAGGAACAGGGGAGGGGACCAGATGACTCTTCTCATTCAGATTCCCTTTTATAATGTGTGGTCTATGCACCCAACAGCAGACAACAGGGCAACCCACGCTGCAGGCGGCACAGGAAGAATCTCCCTGACAGACGCCAGCAAAAGAGCCCAGCCTGGGTGATTCTGTTTTCCCAAAGTACGAAAGAAACAGGCAAAGCCAGCCCCCAGTGTTACCTTCGGGGAGTGGCTGAGGGGTGCTTCGAATGGTTGAGCCGTGGTCCTGGCCCGGTGCTGGTCCCCCAGCGGTGCTTGGCCAGAGAGGTCACCCGCTGCGCACTGAGGGTCCATGCACCTCGCCGCGAGTTCCTGTGTGCACCGAAGCAAGTGCTTACAGAGGGAGAAGGTGCCTCCTTACGAAGCATCTCCTGCTTGGCTCTGTGTGACCTGCTAGCTAGCCTCCTGACCAACCTGGGCCAAGTATCTCCACCAGTCTGGCCAAGTGCTGCGCCCTGGGAGGGGAAGCTCCCCACTTGTGTTCAGAGTCCCCCAGGGGCAAGGCATTCTTACTCCTCATTTTACAGATGAGAAAACTAAGGCCAAAGAGGTGGTCAGTGGCCCAAAGTCACCCTGCGTGCCAAGATGCAACCCCCATCTGCCAGAGCTCCAAGCACTCTGTCTTCCCTCTCTGTAACATCCTTTCCTGTCTTGCAGGAAAAGGAGTTCCCATACCTGCCTTCCTGACCAGAAATCCCAAACTCACAGTCCAGACCCCAGACCTAGGGGGATCCCCCCTCCCCTGCTGGAGACGCTGCTGGCCAGGCATTTAGTCTGCAAATACCCTGACAAGACAGGTCATCAATGTGAAATTATCACCATCAGCAGGGCCAGGCGGCCTGGCCTCCCATTATGACCAAATGAATAACTCCGTTTAGAGAAGTCGTTTAGGGCGCTGCCCCAGACAATGACTCCTGTCAAAAGATTTACCGAAGCTCAGGGGCAATGTGGCGGGGAGGCCCCGTGGGCCTGGCCTCACAGTTTATCAGCTCATGCAGAAAACAAAGATTGCAGCGTGGACCATTTCGCCGCTGAAATTCATGCCTTTTGACCCCAAATGAAGAGATAATCCCGGGGCTTGTTTCCACTTGAGCTTGGAGATATTGTAAACAGCTGGCTCTGAAGCAGAACCTCACATTGGCCTTGGGTGGAAAACAAGTCATCAACCACACTGCTGGGGAAAGCGGTTCTTTACTTCATTTTACTACACTCCCTTGGAAGCACCCCCCAGGAGAATTCTATTTTTTAATTGAGTGCTTGGTAGAACTCTCGCTAAAGGAACATGCTGGAGGATGTGCTTCCTCCAATCCCCTACTGAAGACTGTAAGCTTAATCATGATGTATTTTCTCCTTGGCTACCAGGAAGCTCAAAAGCCAAGAAAAGCTTAAGTCCGTCAGCAAGGCTGGTCCTTTATATTATAACATGTGCATTATCCTTTACTTTCCTGTTGTGGATTCTATTTAGGTTTAATGATGTTTGTTTAAGTGCTTCATCGTGTAAACAGCTTCATATCCTTTGTTGAAAGAGGGAGGGCTGTGGGTAAATGATGGCGGGCTTCCAGGCAGGCAGAGTGGACAGCCAGAGGCAATAACAGGATTCGCCAAGGGACACCAGGTGGGAAGACCCATGCAAAGGCAGCTTGGGATGATCCACTTGCCCAGCATGAGAGGGGCACCTGGTTCTGCCCAGAAGCTCAGGAAATACCACGTGAATGCATGAATGTTGAATGGATAACTGAGCACTAAGCAAGTGGCCAGCAGACCCTGGACGCAGGCACCGTGCTCGGCCTCTGCTGCTTGGGGGTCCTCTCCTGACTTGTGAGGCCAGTCACCACCTCTCTCACAGTGAGATGGGGAGATGAAACCACAGCGGCGACCTGGCGTGTGCCCGGTGCATGGCGCAGCCTATGAGAGCTCCTCCACCTTCTCCTCCTTTCAGGGTGAGGTCATGTTTGACCAGCTTAAGTCAGGTGGCAGATGCCAAGAAAGTGTGCATGCTGCAATTAGAAGCTGGAATGTTACAAAGGATGATAACAGCAGCTCCAGAGCATTTGCTGAACCCCAAGCGCTGTCCTATGCAACCCGTGTGGACTAACCCCTGTGATGCCCACACCCTCACAAGGTAGGAATTCTCATTGTCATTTTACAGATGACAAAATGGAGGTGTGGCAACTTTAAAACCTGTCTACAAATTCTTGGACCTTCTGGCATCGAGAGGCAGGTCACAGACCACACACACACACACACACACACACACACACACACACGCACACGTATGCATACGTTGAAGCTGGCTGGCTGCGATTGTGACTCTTTTGTAGCCAATATCATGGCAGTGAGGTTAGTTGAGAAAATGTGGTGGTGCCAACAGTTCCGGTTTTTGTAGCCCAGGCACCAACCATGTGAGCAATGAGATAATCCCAGCCCCCAGGCATTAAGTCCCCCAGAGCCCCCAGTCTTCCAAGCAGGGGTCCCCCAGACTGTGTGGAGCAGACAAGTCATCCCCACTGGCTCCTTCCACAAAGAGGTTGTGGCTTTATTTCTAAGTTTGAGGTGGCTTTACATTGACAGGACAGAGATTTGGTGTCTGGGCAAATCCCAAGCATTAACTCTGGTCCTGGGCAGTGGATAGAAGCTAAAGGGGCCTTGAGAAGACTGCCAGTGAGGGCTTGAGGAAGACCAAGAAGAACGTCATTGGAAACCAGAGAAAAAGGGAGGTCAGTAACCCAAAGGAGGCCAATACTGCCATAAGCTACAACGTGGAAAGCAGGAAAAGGGTACCTAATTAACCCAGTGATGTAGCAAGCTTCTTCTGTAAAGGGCCAAATGGTAAATATTTTAGATATTGTGGAGAAGATGGTCTCTGCTGAAACTCCTCAAGTCTATAGTTGTAGCTCAAAAGCAGCCATCAACAATACACCAATAAATGGGCATGGCTGCACTCCAATAACCCTGTTTACAAAAACAGGCAGTAGGCTGGATTGCTCACCCCTGATCTAGCTAAGATGTCCAGGAAAATATATTGAAAGTGCCAGTTTCTTCTCCTTGCAGCCTATGATAAGATGCAAGAGGAAGGAGGTGAGCTGAAGAGCAAACTGCAGAATTTTCAAGATAAATTTTCAGAAAATTTAAAGGAGATAGAGTTTGCTGGGTGATTATGTGGTGATGATGATGATGATGGTGATAGTAGTGATGGTGATGGTGGTGGTGATGGTGGTGGTGGTGGTGATAATGATGGTGGTGATGGTGGTGGTGATGGTGATGATGGTGATGGTGGTGATGGTGGTGATGGTGGTGGTGGTGGTGATGGTGGTGGTGATGATGGTGATGATGGTGGTGATGGCAGTGGTGATGATGATGGTGGTGATGGTGATGATGGTGGTGGTGGTGATGGTGGTGATGGTGATGATAGTGGTGATGGTGGTGATGGTGAGGATAATGGTGGTGATGGTGGTGATGATGATGGTGGTGATGGTGATGGTGGTGGTGGTGATGGTGATGATGATGATGGTGGTGATGGTGGTGATGGTGATGATGATAGTGGTGATGGTGATAATTACGATGATAATGGTGATGGTGATAGTGATGATGGTGATGACCATGATGGTGGTGGTGATGATGGAAGTGATGGGGATGGTGGTGATGGTGATGACAATGGTGGTGATGATGGTGACAGTGGTGGTGATGATGATGATGGTGATGATAATTGTGATGATGGTGGTGATTATAGTGGTGATAACATTAATGATGGTGATGATCATTATGGCAAAGGGGAAGGAATGCAGTGTTATGTGTAGTACAGCTTAGAATTTCTCAGTGGCCAGAATTGTATGCTGCATCCATCATTGCTATCTTCTGTCCCTGTCCAGCCATCCTTGCTTAGCAGTGTGAGCTCTTTGAAGGCAGGGTCATGCTGGATCCTATCCTTCCCCACCCACCCCAGAGTTGGCCACATACTGGTGCTCCTTCAACAGGAGTTTAAGGATGATGAGTGGAGGGGGAATCTCTTTGGAAGACATGAAATCACAAACCTTACATTTCCTCTCTCCTGTTCTATTATCTAAATATATCTCCTGTGGCCCCCTTTCAGTAAATTATAACAGAATTAATTTTAAAAAAAACTCACCTGGCTCCATGTTCCTCTAAGATATTATTTCATTTTCTGACTCCTTCTGCACTAGAAGCCCTTCAAAGAGGTGACGTATCCTTCACATCACATTCTCTCTTGAACCAGCCCTACCCAACAGGCTGCTGGAGCAGGCTTACACTGGCTTGCGAGAGTAGTTGTTAAATTGTCAGGACATTTCCCAACCAGTTGGTAAACTGTCATGCTCTGCCACAGTGGGATACATTTCAGAAATCAGCAAATACTAGAAATCAGCTTTCTCTCCCAGAGAACCAGTTGTTAAACATTTGCCAGCGTGCCAGTGTGGCCCCTCCACTGAGTCTGCTCTTATCAAGATCATGTCAAGGTCGCTGGAGAGCTCCAGGCTTGGAAGTTCTTCCACCAGGTCTGCCCCGAGGCTCCAGCTTGCTGTTCCCCAGGCTCAGAAGCTCTTCCACCCAGGTCTGCCTGGAGGCTCCGCCTTGCTGTTCCCCAGGCTCAGAAGCTCTTCCACCCAGGTCTACCTGGAGGCTCCGCCTTGCTGTTCCCAGGCTCAGAAGTTCTTCCAGCAGGTCTGCCCCGAGGCTCCGGCTTGCAGTTCCCAGGCTCAGAAGCTCTTCCACCAGGTCTGCCCAGAGGCTCCGGCTTGCAGTTCCCAGGCTCAGAAGCTCTTCCACCAGGTCTGCCCAGAGGCTCTGACTTGCTGTTCCCCAGGCTCAGAAGCTCTTCCACCAGGTCTGCCCAGAGGCTCCGGCTTGCTGTTCCCCAGGCTCAGAAGCTCTTCCACCCAGGTCTGCCCAGAGGCTCCAGCTTGCAGTTCCCAGGCTCAGAAGCTCTTCCACCCAGGTCTGCCCGGAGGCTCCGGCTTGCTGTTCCCTGGACTCAGAAGCTCTTCTACCGGGTCTTCCCCAGGCTAGCTCTGCTTGTTGTCAACTTGGTCTCTGCTTAGGACTGTCCCTGTCCCCGTGTCCAGCACAGGACTGGATGCACAGTAGGAGCACAGATTGCTGGTGAGGATGGAATGACAGCCCTACGGTGTGGACCAGCTGCCCCTTGACACAAAACTGCATGGACTTCTGGGCTGCAGAGTTGCTGGGCAGTCGATGCTTGGGGAGCAATGCCCATGGCAGGAAGCCAACTCGGCAGGAAGGCAAGGAGGCCCTGCTGAGCCCCACGCCACCCACACCAGGTGCTGGAGGATTCCACGGCTGTGGGAGCCTCACATTACAGTGCCTGCCCCAGGCCTGTCCCCAGAGACAGCCCCAGGTGCCGAGGCAATCTGTCCTCTTACCCCACCCTTCAAGTCCCTGGAGGCGACATCTTTGAGCTGTCACTCCTGTAACCTGATCAGCAATGGGACAAGGTTCTGGGGCACAAAACAAGAGACATCTTAATTGGTGGCTCTTCCGGAGCAGCCAGAGCCCCAGACATCTCTTAATTTGTCAGGTGGGTCTGAGCCGGAAATGCGGGCTTCTCATGTGGCCATGGGACATGCTGGCAGCTCGCCTGGGTGGCTCTACATGCAGAGGGATGCTGACCTCTCACGTGGGCTTGTGTCTCTGATGCCTCAATTCAGCCTGTGTCTGGTTTAAGACAAGCACCGCCTCCCTTCTCTGCATGCAGAATTGAGCTCTGGTCCCCAGAGGTGGTCACTCCAGCAGGACACTTGTCAGGCTGGGCAGCCTGCAGCATCACACGGGGAGTTTCAGCAGTGTGGTTCCCATGCCTGCCAAAGATCAGAGCCTCCTGGCAGCTTTGGGCAGCACCTATTCCTTGGGCCCTGGCCCAGGTGCTTGGGGAGAGCAACTGGTTCTCAGCTGGTGACTGACTGGGTGAGGTGACCGACACAGCCGTTCCTAACCATTTGTGATGGGCCTGGCAGGGGCATTTCAGCCAGGCCTTAATGCCCAGGTGGGACTCAGGCAGGCAAGCAGAAGGAACAGCCTGGGCAGAGGCCCAGCCACAGGAGCACATGGGCCTCATTCAGGGAGTGGTGACTGCCTGGCAGGGGAGAGCAAGGGTAAGGGTGATAGGAGGAGGGGAGCAGGCAAGCAAGTGACCCAGGTGGCTCGCTGCGGCCCAGAAAGCTTTGGGTGGAGCTTGGGCTCAGCCAAGAAAGTGGATGGCAAGGCAGCCTCCCAGTAAGAAGGTGGAGGATCGGGCAGCATCCCCAGTAAGAAGGTAGAGGGTGGGGCAGCCTCTTGGTAAGAAGGTAGAGGGTGGGGCAGCCTCCCCAGTAAGAAGGTGGAGGGCCAGGCAACATCCCCAATAAGAAGGTGGAGGGTGAGGCAGCCTCCCCAGTTAAGAAGGCGGAGGGTGGAGCAGCCCCCCCAGTAAGAAGGCGGAGGGTGGGGCAGCCCCCCCAGTAAGAAGGCGGAGGGTGGGGCAGCCTCCCTTTCAGGGGAACCACCTGTAGCCCAAGAGGGAGAAGGGGCAGGGTCTGCAGCCAGACCCAGCTTTGAGGCTCAGCCTGG
The DNA here is from genome assembly GCF_000001405.40 of Homo sapiens. Classification (NCBI taxonomy): domain Eukaryota; kingdom Metazoa; phylum Chordata; class Mammalia; order Primates; family Hominidae; genus Homo; species Homo sapiens. The sequence continues at coordinate 72,077 of NW_021159993.1, forward strand.
GTGCACACTGGCCACGTGAATGTGCCAGTCCTCAGCCTCGCAGAGCCTCTGTTTCCTCCTCAGCAAACTAGAGGCCACTGCTATGTCTCCATTCTTAGAATAGAACATGCAACTCTCATTTAGCCCATGCTCTGGACACACACACGAGCATCAGCACAGTTCAGTCTGAATAATGGCCCGACATGTACATGGCCTGACTTTTTGTTAATGCCTGAAACACCCAGATCAGGAGCACCTGCTGCCCACGCCAGATACACATGCAGCTAAAACGTCTGAACGCACGTTGTAGAATGGGGGTGACCTCAGGGGAAGGGGAAGGGAGTAGGAGACCTCAGCTGAGCTGTAACGTTTCACTTCTTAAAATACAATAAGCTTATGAAGTAAAAACGATAGCAACCACAGTATCATCACAACAAAAGCGCCGAAACTGAAACCGGGCTGAGGTGGAGGTTCCAACAGAGAAGGGGCCTCAGCCCTGGAGGGAGTCCTGGACGTTGCGGAGCCGCCCACTCTGGCCAGCCCCACACTATGCACGGCTCACTCCTTCCCTGCTGGCTGCAGCCTTGTGTCCCAGTGATCCGGTGATCCAGTGAGCCCAGGCAGAGTGCTTCTGAGCTTCGGGACTTCTGCCTCTTTCGAGGCCTGCGGAAGGCCCCTGATCCCGGGGATATGGACAGTGAGTGAGCTCCCGTGAAAATGAGCTCATAGACTCCATGCTCCATGGATGCCCTGCTGGCACCAGCATCCCTGGCTGTTTCCATGGCCAGCAGAGGGCAGGTGAGGGGCTGAGGTTCCTCTTCTTGAGGAGCAGTGGGGAGTGGGGTGGAGTGGAGGAGGTGGGGGGGGTGCAGTCACTGGGGGTCCCGTCCCTGAAAGCTGCGCTCTGGCCAGCAGGCTAGGATAACAAGTGCCAGAGATGAGGGAACTGTATGGAAGGGAGAGGTCCCCATCGCCGGGCACTCGACTGACCCTCGCCTTGGGGAAGCTGTGGAAGAGTCCCTCGTAGGGGGTAGGGGATGGTGAGGAGGGTGGAGGAGTTGGAGCTGCCCCCTTGGACCCTAAAACCTGTTCCCAGAGGGCCTGCCTCTCTCAGGACAACGCCATCTGTGCGCCCCCTTCACCAGCCTGGCTGCACCCGGGGGGGCTCAGTGGGACCTCTCGGGCACACTGAGGTCACGCCCCTTGCCCTGTCCAGATGGGCCTGGGCCGACTCCGTCCGCTGCAGGCGAGGACAATGGCCCCTGTTGTCGTCCAGCCACCCTCGGCCACATTCTCCAGGGACCTAGTGACCCTGAACAGGACGGTGAAGAGGTCCCCGCTGACTCAGCGAGATGTCCACTCGCTAATGAAGGGCCGTTGGAAAGGGCGTTGACCTTGGTCAGCAGGCTGGGCTTTCCATCCAGGGGTCACTGCAAGGACACACAGGAGACAGTGATGCCACGCCCGCCCCACCCCAAACACTTGCCAGCAGCTCAGAGGACAACTGTCTGGCGGTCAGCCTACGCCAAGACCCACCTGTGGGGCAGAGCCAGGACAGGCAGCCCGGTTCAGAGGTTTAAACCAGGGGCCAGCCCTGCTGCCAAGTAAAATGGCAGCAACCACATGGCACCATCCAAGCCCTGACTGAAGGAGGCCCCAGGTTCAATGGAATGGTAGATGGTTCCTAACCCAGCGTGGAGACCAAGGAAGGCTGCCTGGAGGAGGGGATATGGAGCCGGGTCTTGAAGGATGGGTAGCACTGGCCAGAAATCACTGAAGGAGAAGAGGGGGCTAGACAGAAAACAGCACTGGCAGCGATTTTTGGGCAAAGAGGGCAGAGAGATGGAACTCTTTTGCGTAACTCAAGCATGGGCTGCCAAAAGGAGGGAGGCTGGAAGTGAGCAAGGCGGTGGGAGGCGCCGAGGGGATGAGACAAGGAGAAGGGCGTTCAATGTGTTAGAAACACCCCCTGTGATCGCAGCGGGCAGGCAAAGGCGTGGCCGGATAATGCCTTAGATTGAGGGAAGTCCAGGGGGGCGCAGGCTCCACAGAGTGCTGAGCAAAGTCACGCTGGCTTTGCAGAAACCCCCAGGGAGGCTATTCCACCTTGAGCAAAGGCCTGGAGGCCAGAAAGTGCGGCCCATGTTGGGGTGGTGACAGGCCACTTGACGGACAGCAGGAAGCATGAAGGCCGGGGAGGACCTCAGAGGGAAGGCTGGATGGGGTGGACCGAAATGATGTGGGCTGGAGAAGGCACTTCCGACGGGGGCTCAGCTTCAGCTAAGCGAGGGAGGCTGGAGGGGCGCAATGAGGGTCTGGGGTTGCAGATGTGAGAATGTGTGGCAGCAGACATGGCACCGTAACTGCTGGCCTGTATCAGGACCAGGGCCCAGTGCTCATGGCAGGCAGAACCCACACACCCTCCCATGCTGTTCCATGGTGTTCAACACTGTTCCATTTGGCACCATCAAGGTGCCCCACAGCAACAGAAGGAAGGAGCTGTGCTCCTCCACAGGGACTCACCACCAGGCAGCTGTGGAACTCAGGCTCATGACTCTCCCTCTCTAACCTGAATCCCTCTCCTATAAAATGGGGCTATTATCTGCCCTGCCGCCCTCCCAGGATTGTTTGGACCCACTTATAAGGGTATAAAAAAGCACCCTGTGCTGCCCAGCACTGAACATGGTGAAAAGCAGTCTCCACGATGACACGATGATATGACGGCACTTCTGCAGGAGAGTCTGAGCTCTCTTTCAAACACAGGAAATCCACTTACAAAACTTGACGACCTACAGGTCAAAAATTAAACCTCAACAAATTTCAAAGAATGATTTTCATATGCAGTATATTGTCTGACCACAATGTGATTCATTTAGAAGGTAACATAAAAAAAGATTAAAGATAACATAAAAAGATTATATAGGTTTAGAAGACTGACACATGATCCTAAATAACCTGTGGGTTAAAGAGAAGATTGCAATGGAAATTACAAATGATTTAGTCCTGAATGTAAAAAAAAGGGTGGGAGGCATTATATAGCAGTTTTCTTGGTTGTAGCAAATTAGTTTTTAGAGGTATATTTGTAAACTATGCATTTATTATAAAAATAAGAAAACTTACAAATACATAAGGTACAATCTTAACTAAAAATAGAAAACTGACAATAATTCTAAAGAACATAGAAGAAAAGAAGTAAAGATATGAGAAGAAATGGATTAAATAGAAAATGAAGAAAAATAGAAATTATCAACAAAAGCAAAATTCTGCCCTCAGAGAAAATAAAATAGAAAAATTTCTAGTAAGACTAATCAAGAAAAAAGTGCTATCAACAAATCACATTAGGAATGAAGAAGGAAGCAGAAGAGATTTAGAAGAATTGTTAAAGGATACTGCAATCAACTTTATGCCAATATATTTTAAATTTCAGTGTAATGAACATTTTTCCTGAAGAAAAATTAATTACCAAAATTAACTCAAGTTGAAATAGAAGACACAAACAAAGCAATAACCAGTGAAAAAATAGAATTGATTAGCAAACATTTATATACCCAAAGAAAACAAACAAAAGTCACCAAGCCCAGGTAGTATTACAGCAAGAGCCACCAAATCTTCAAGAGACAAATGATCCCTAATATATGCACACTATTGCAGAGAATAAGGGAAAAAAATGGGAAACTTATCAATTTACTTTAAGAGAATAGTATAAGCTAATGACTAAAGTTACATGACCGTTTATGAAAAGAAAATATCACGCCAATTTCAATTCTAAACATAGATTTTGAAAATCTTAGGGGAAAGTCTGGCAAATCAAATCTTGCTGCATATTAAAATAATGACAGCTCATTTTAGTTTACCTCCGAAAGTCAAGGAGAGTACTCATTTCAAAAATTTAGGAATAGGCCGGACGCAGTGGCTTACGCCTGTAATCCCAGCACTTTGGGAGGCCAAGGTGGGTGGATCACTTGAGACCCAGAGTTAGAGACCAGCCTGGCCAATATGGTGAAACCCCGTCTCTACTAAAAAAATACAAAAATTAAGCTGGGCGCGGTGGCTCACGCCTGTAATCCCGGCACTTTGGGAGGCTGAGGTGGGTGGTTCATGAGGTCAGGAGTTCAAGACCAACCTGGCCAAGATGGTGAAACCCTGTCTCTACTAAAAATACAAAAAAATTAGCCAGGTATGGTAGTGGGCACCTGTAATCTCAGCTACTCAGGAGGCTGAGGCAGAGAATTGCTTGAACCCAAGAGGCAGAGGTTGCAGTGAGCCGAGATCATGTCACTGCACTCCAGCCAGGGCTATGGGCTATACAGCGAGAGCCTGTCTCAAAAAAAAAAAAAAAAAAAAAAAAATTAGCCTGGTGTGGTGGCATACACGTGTAGTCCCAGGACACAGAAGGCTGAGGAATAAGAATCGTTTGAACCCAGAAGGCGAAGATTGCAGTGAGCAGAGATGGCACCCCTGCATTCCAGCATGGGTGATAGAGCAAGGCTCCATCTAAAAAAAAAAAATTAGGAATAAACAATGACATATTAAGAGAGGAGAGGATGAGAGACTCCAATTTTATCATCTTAATAGAAACTAAAAAAGCATTCAGTAGAATTCAGCATTTATTCAAGATTGAGTTTTTCAAATTCTTAGCAAACTATGAATAGCATGAAGTTTTCTTATTTGGATACATTTAGACAAGGTAGAAAGATGCTAAGCTGCTGAACAAAGGGACACCAAAACAGAGTGGCTGGGATGGGAGTGGAGTTTGTGAACAAAGGGACACCAAAGCCAGGTGGCTGGGATGGGAGAGAAGTTTGTGTCTGTGACATGTAACAGTGCAGGGGAGGTGGGAGACAGAGGCACTGGAGACACAGGTGCCTCCTATTGTGATGTTTTACACGTTCTAGAATGTTGTCCTCATCCACAGAGTCAAAGTACATTCACTATTGTCATTTCCACAGAAAGACAAAGAGGAAACGTGATATATAATTTGCACACATCACTTCTCCCATGCCTATTAATGAGAACCTGGTCATGTGGACACACCAGGCTGTAAGGGAAGTGGAAATGTACTTTTCACCTAGGTAGACACATGTTCATCTACAATCCAAAGGAGATCTATTACTAAAATAAAAAAAAAATAAGGGAGAAGGGGTAAGAAGGGTCCGTTTGCAGGCTCTGCTACAGCTGATAAAAAGTGTCTATCTAAAACACAGAGTAAACATTATACTTAATTATTAAAGTTTAAAAGTATTCCCACTGAAGTCAGGATCAAGACAAGGATGGATTCCTCATCACTATGTTCAACATTGTACTTGTAGATTTAGACAAGGAAAAATTCAAAGATGCAGACATTGAAAAATACTATGATTGTCCACACAGGAAATCTAAAATAATCTATGGACAAACTGGTATAAGTAGTATAAATATAATACAGGTATAACTAATAACTAGTAAGTTTGCTGGATACAAAAGCAAGAGAATTTATATATGCCACTAATCATCAATAATAAAATAGAGAAAAGATTCCCAATCATAAAGGCAACCAAGACTTTAATATTTTGAACTGTGTGATATGTTTACTGGGAAAAATTATGAAATATACCATATTCATGGATAGGCAGACTCAGTATCAGAAACACATTAATTTTTCCTAAATTAGCCTTTAGAGTCAATGTACTCTCAATTTTTGAATCAAAAATTCTAACAAAGTTTTCCTCATAGGACATGGAAAGCTAATATAAAAGAATAATGGAAGAAAAAATGACTAGAATAACGCACATTTTTAGAACATAAAAATATAAAGGATTACTTTAAAATTAATTTGGGAAGACTTCAGAAAAAGGAAAGTTATAAGGAATAAAGAGGGTCATTACATAATGATAAAAAATTCAATTCACCAAGAAGACATAACCATCCTTAATATTTATGCACCCAATAAGAAAGCATCAAACTACATTGAGGCAATAACTGATAGATCTGCCCGGTGAAACAGATAAGTCTGCTATCATAGTTGGAGACCTTAACACACCTCTGTCAGAAATGGATAGATCCAGCAAGCAGAAAATCAGTAAGGACAAAGTTGAACTCAACAGCGCTATCAATCAACTGGATATGATTAACACTTATAGACTACCTCATCCAACAGCAAATTACACATTCTTCTCAAGCTCTCATGGAATAACTACCGAGACAGACCACATTCTGGGGCATCAAACACACCTTAACAAACTGAAAGCATAGAAATCTCACAATATCTGCTCTCAGACCACAATGAAATTAAATCAGAAATCAATAACAAAAAGATGCCTAGAAAATTTTAAATTACTTAAAGATTAAACAAAACACTTCTAAATAACATATGGGTCAAAGAATAAATCTCAAGAGAAATTTAAAAATATTTCCAACTAAATGAAAATGAAATACAACTTATAAAAATTTGTTGGATGAAAGAAAAGCAGTGCTCAGAGGGAAATTTATAGCTTTGAATCCATATATTAGAAAATAACAAAGATCTAAAGTCAATAATCTAAGCTTCTACCTTATGAAACTGAAAAAGAAGAGCAAATTAATTCCAAAATAGGAAGAAATAATAAAAATTGGAGCAGAAATCAATGAAACCAGAAGTTTGTTCTTTGAAATATCAACAGATCAATAAGCCTCTAGCCAGGCTAAGAAAAAAAGAGGACAACAATAGCTAATACCAGAAATGAAAGACAGGATATCACTACAGATCTCATGGACATGAAAAGGATGATACAGAAATACAATGAACAACTGTATGCTCACAAATTTGATAATCTAGATGAAATGGGCCAATTCCTTGAAAGACACAACCTGCCAAAGCTCATGCAAGAACAAATAGGCAATTTGAACAGGCTTGTATCTATTAAATAAATTGAATTAATACTTAATAACTTTCCAAAAGAGAAAGTCCAGATGGGTTCATTAGTAAATTTTACCAAACATTTAAGAAATAAATTATACTAATTCTTCACAATCTCTGTTAGAAGACAAAAGCAAGGAAAACACTCCCCATCTCATTCTTTGAAGCCAGCATTTCCCTAATACCAAAACCAGACAAAAACATTACAAGAGGCTGGGCACAGTGGCTCATGCTTGTAATCCTAGCACTTTGGGGGGTTGAGGCAGCTGGATTGCTTGAGCCCAGGAGTTCAAGAACAGCTTGGGCAACGCAGTGAGACCCTGTCATGGTGGCATGAGCCTGTAGTCCCAGCTACTCGGGAGGCTGAGATGAGAGGATCACTTGAGCCTGGGAGGCAGAGGTTGCAGTGAGTGCTACTGTACTCCAGCCTGGGCAATAAGGCAAGACTCTGTCTCAAAACAAAATAAAACAAAAAACAATGACATTACAAGAAAAGAAAACTACAGAACAATATGTGTCACAAACATAAACGCAAAAGTTAACAAAATATTAGCAAATAGAAATCAACAATGTATAAAAGAGAATTATACACCACAGGATTTATCCCAGGTATTCGAGGCTGGTTCATATAATACATTACATCAATAGGCTAAAGAAGAAAAATCACATGATTATATCAATAGACACAGAAAAAGCATTTGACAAACTCCAACATGCATTAATGATAAAAATTCTCAGTAAACTAGGAATAGAGAGGAACTTTCTCAACTTGATAAAGAATGTCTACAAAAATCTTATAATTAACATTGTACTTCATGGTGAGAAATTCAAAACTTTCCCACTAAGATCAGGAACAAGGCAAGAACGTCCTCTCTCACCACTGCTTTTCGACATCATACCGGAAGTCCTGGCTAATGCAGTAAGACAAGAAGAGGAAATAAAACATATACAGAGTGGGAAGGAAGCAATAAAACTGTCTTTGTTCACAGTTGACATCATTGTTCATGTAAAAAAATCCAAAAGAATTTACAAAAAATACTCCTAGAACTAATAAGTAATTATAGCAAGATTGTGGGATACAAGGTTCTTATACAAAATTCAGTCACTTTCCTACACGGCAGCAGTGAACAAGTGGAATTCAAAATTTAAAACATGATAAACACAATACCATTCACATTAGCACCCCCTCAAAATGAAATGCTTAAATATACATTTAACAAGATATGTATAAGATCTATAAAAAGAAAACTACAAAACTCTCATCAAAAAAATCAAAGAAAAACTAAATAAATTAAGATATATTCCACATTCAGGGATAAAAAGACTTAATATTATCAAGATGCCCATTCTTCCTCACTTGATCTATAGACTCAATGCAATCCCAATCAAAATTCCAGCAAGCTATTTTATGAGTATCAACAAACTAATTCTAAAGTTTATATGAAGAGGCAGAAAACTCAGAATAGCCAACACAATATTGAAGAACAAAGTTAGAAGATCAACACTACTTGACTTCAAGACTTACCATAAAGAAAACTATAGTGTGGTATTGGCAAAAGACAAGACAAATAGATCAACATAACAAAATAAAGGGCCATGAAATAGACCCATATAGTCAATTGATTTTTGACAAAGAAGGATTGGCAATAGAATGGGGTAAAGATAGTCTTCTCAACAAACGGTACCAGAATGACTGAATACCCACATGCAAAAAGAAAAAGAAATGAACCTAGACACAGATCTTATACAGTTCACAAAAATGTAACTCAAAATGAATCATAGACCTAAATATAATATTCAAGACTATAAAACCCTAAAATATAACATAGGGGAAAATCTAAACAATCTTGAGTTTGTTAATGACTTTTTAGATACAATACCAAAGGCAGGATCCAGGAAAGAATCGATAAGCTGGGCTTCATTAAAATTAAAATATTTCTGCTCTATGAAGCCACTGTCAAGAGAAGGAAAAGGCAAGCCATAGACTGGGAGAAAATATTTACAAAAGACATACATGATAAAGGACTATTATCCAAAATGTACAAAGAACTCTAAAAAACTTAACAATAAGAAAACAAACCCAACTAAAAACTGGGCCAAAGATCTTAACAGATATATTACCAAAGAAGATACACAGATGGCAAATAAGCATAAAAAGATTAACCACATCATACGTCATTAAGAAATTGCAAATTAAAACAACAATGAGACACCATTATACACCTAGTAGAATGACCCAAATCCAGATTACTGACATAATCAAATGCTGACAAGGATGTGGAGAAACAGGAACTGCCATTCTTGGGTTGTGGGAATGCCAAATGGTATGCCTGCTTTGGAAGACAGCTTGGTGGTTTCTTACAACACTAAGCATACTCTTACCAAAAGATCGAGCAGTTGTTCTCTTTGTTATTTATTTACCCAAGGGAGTTGAAAACTTATATCCATACGAAAACCTACTTATAAACATTTAGAGCAGCATTACTCATAATTGCCAAAAACTGGGAAAAAAAAAAAAAACAACAAGATATCCTTCAGTAACTGATTGGATAAATACATTGTAGAACTCCTAGGCAACGAAATGTTATTCAGCACTAAAGAGATATGAGCTATCAAGCCATGAACAGACATGGAAGAAACTTAAATGTGCATTACTAAGTGAAAGAAGCCCAACTGAAAAAAAAAGTACATATTATATGACTCCAACCATGTGGCATTCTGAAAAAGGCAAAACTATGGAGAGGAAAAAAAATCAGTGGCTTCCAGGGATTCGGGGAGAGAGAAAGATGAGCAGGTGAAGTGCAGGGGAGCTTAAGGTGGTGACACTATGCTGTATGACAGTAAAATGGAGATACCTGTCCTTGTACCTTCATGTAAACCCATAGAACCCACAACACCCATAGCGAACTCTCCTGCGAACTCTGCACTTTGAGTGCTAATGGTGTGCCTGTGGAGACTCACCAGTTGTGAGGAGTGTCCCACCCTGGTAGGGATGTTGGTACAGAGGAGGGCTATGCATGTGTCAGAACAGGGGGGAAATGGGAAATCCCTGAACATATCTTCTGCTCAATTGTACTGTGAACCTAAAACTGTTCTTAAAAATAAAGCCTACGAATTTAAAATTACAGTCATTAGGAAAGTATGTGAGTGGGTCATGAAGAGACAGAAAGACAAAGGGAGCCAACCAGGAAACACGGAAACAACATGTAGGAGTGTGGGAATTCCACTTTCGATGGAAACAGCAACACAAATCGGCACCAAGAGGACAGATCAGCCCTTCGTGGCGCTGGGACAGTGGGTTTTCCACAAGGAAAAAGAGAAAGTTAAATCCCTACCTCCCTGTACAGAAAAATCAATTCCAGATGGATTAAAGACATAAATGTGAAAAGAACTACAAAACTTTTAGGAAAAAATATAGAATAATATTTTTATGACCCCAGAGTAGGAAGGAATTTCTAAACACAATGCCAAAAAATGCACACTGTGAAGGGAAATATTGGTCCCGAGACTTCATGAAGATCTATGCCATCTCTTTAGGCCTCGGCTTGCAGTGGCCACACTGTGACTAATGCCATGTTCTATTGACCAAAGCAAGTCATGGGTCTCTGAGGCACAGGGCTGGGCACCAACACCACCCTGAAGACTTATCTGGCTAAACTGCAGCTACAGAGAAGGGTGGAGGACTTGGGCCACTTTTGCCACCAATCTTCCATGCCCCAGCCTGGTAATCAGGGAAGACCATAGAGAGGAGCCCTATTTGAGCAAGGTGATGGAGAAAGTACAGAAGTCTGGGGGGAAATTAGGAAAAAAGAATAACTCAGTGAGGTGTGACCCAAGGAGGGGAGTCTGGGCGTCCCCACTGAAGCAGAAAGAGATTCATCACAACTCCTTCCAAAGTGACTGATGTTGAAAACCATTTAAAATGCATGTGTGTGGTCCAGGAGGGCCAGTAAGTGTCTGCCTGTCTCCCTCCCACTCTGGTCCCCGAGAACCTGGCACGTGGGGCACAGGGAGGAGTTTGAGAAGGGGACAGAGAGCCGGTGCCAGCTGGCACCCAGGCTGGCCAGAAGAACACCAGTGGGCATGGGAGGGAAACCCAAGCTTGGTAGCCATGGTCAAGAGGAGCCCGCAGGGAGCCACCTGTCTCCTTTGACCAGTTGGTCTGCAGAGATGAGCTTCCTAGAATTAAACACAAGTGGGGATTTATCTCCGGAGCTTTGAGGATGGAGCATTCATTAATCATTCCCTGCAGTGGCTCTGCTGGGCACCGGCGCACATCTGGCCCAGATTCAGATCTGACTTTCCTGCAGAGCCCTCCCTGGACTCAGGGGAGATGTGGGAGGTATGCAGGGGTGTCAGGGGCACTCTGGGGTGCAAAGTCTTTGGTCCCAAATGTCCAAAGGTCTTTTTGGAGTCAGCCAAGGAGCTGATATGCTGCAGAGGGCCAGGCTGGCCCCAGAGCAGCAGGCATTCTCATCTTCAAAGACTCTGCCAGGGTCTTGGAGGTTAATCTGGGGGGACTGCAGTGTTTTTGATGATGACGTTTTCTTGTCCCTGCAGCTTCCACACCAAATCTGTCTGAACCCCCAGACCAGGGACTAGGAAGTCAGCCTCGATGCCCGCCGAGGTTCCCCTACCCCCATCCAACGTCCCACCAGGCACCAAGCCCTCCAGAACTACCTTTCCCGTCTGTCCGCTCCCCCAGGTCTACTGCCACTGCCTGGCAGGACTAACACCCCAGCCTACCTGGATCCTCAAGGACCTCTTGGTGGTCACCTTTCCCAGACTCACCCCCCGGTTCTCCCTCTCCCGCTGACGGAGAGCTTACCAACAGGGCATGATCAGCTCCTTCCCTGCAAACAAAATCCCACAGGTTCACCATTGCCCCTGGACAAAGTTTTCTTCTGAACCAGAAAGTCAAGGCCCTTGTAGACTCCTGACCACATCCTCTGCCACAGGGGGGCCTGAGGCTGAGCCCCCGAGGTCCCTGAGGGCCACACCAGCTACTCCTTCCTGTTCCTCTGTTTTCACTGCCCCCAGGGCCCTGTGCATCTAGCAATTTTCGCTTTAAACTTTATGAATCTCTGAAGTGACACCACCTCCAGGAAGCCTTCCTAGAGGCACCAAGCACAGTTGACATCCTGCCTTTGTGCTGTAACTGGCAACAAGACAACCTCTGATTGAGGATGAACAGCTCCCCTGAGCCATGTGCTCTCTGACAGCAGGACGGTGTCCAATCCGTTTCCATGGCCCCAGGTGGGGATGGACTAAAGGCTTATTCTAAGAGGACCCAGCGAAAGCTGGTGAAACAGAGATCAACCCAGAGCCTGGTTTAGCTCTGACAACCTCCACACAGGCCCAGTGGCCTTGGCCACTGAACAGAGAAGGCCAGGCATGGTGACTGCTCTCTCTGGAGCCCACAGAGATTTGCAGCTCAGGAAGCCGCTCCGGCCTCTGGCCTGACAGATCTGGACCGAGGCTGCTGAGGGCTGGATGGAGCTCAGCTCCCAGGGTGTAGAGGGTGGACAAACTGGCAGGGCCTTGGTGTCCCCTGGGCAAATTTCCTCACATCACAGGAGAGGAGGCACCAAGCTACACCGCAGGGGCATCCCTTGCTGGGCCCAGAACTTTCCTCTGCCTCCAGAGTAAATTCAGAGTCACCTGGGAAAGGGACCCCACCTGCCACCTTAAAATCACCCCCTTTTCCTGTCTCTGCCTGCCCCTCCCCATGAGCTTGAGCCCCTGAGAACTGAGGCTTAGGGTAGAACAGCGACCAACCCCATCACAAGCCTGATGGGCTCACCGGAGCGGGGGCTGGGGGCCGGGAGGATGAGGATCTGGGGCAAGAGAAAGGGTGCAGGAAGGGAAAACGGGGAAGCAAAGACCCACGGGCCTGGGTTGGAGGGAGGCTGTCACAGAGAAGGAGGGACTCCCCCCAGCTCTGCCCAACCCTCCTGCACCCAGGCCTGCATCCAGTGGGAGTGGCCTTTTTAGAGGTCCTTTCCTCCTCCTGTCACCCCTGCATGGCAGGTGGGGACACACCACCCACCCATCTGGCAGGCCAGGCACAGGCCAGGTGAGGCTTACACACCCCAGGGTCCCAGAGCAGAACAGGAGACCCCATCTACCCTGTCTCTGCCCCTCAGTTTCAGCGTCTGTGGAATGGAACTCCGGCTGCCCGTCTTGCAGAGAGTTTGAAGGATGATGCCGCCGCACTGCCTTGGGTGTTTGGAGGCCAGGACTCTCCCACACAGTAACCCTGACCATGACGCCACGAATGCCCTGCCCCTGGCCCCCTGCTAATTGAATTTTTCCAGAGGCCTTGTAGTGTTCTTTGAGCACTGCCCACTAAGCCACAGGTGAGGAGCTGTGATGTTTCAGCCACACATTCCTGGCACCCCCTAGCCGGGGCATGAGCATGCTCCTTACGGCTCAGTCTTGTCTGGGGCTCCATTAAACCAAGCTTACAATTAAGGAAATGTGATAGGAAAATTAGCTGATGTGTGAAACCGGAGCCTCGGTACAGTTACAAAAGACAGTGTCTTCCAAGCCCTGATTAGCCACTCAGCCTGACGTGAGGTTAAGTAAAGAACGCCAGATTAATCCAGATGGACAATTATGACGCGTTCTTCTCCGGCGTCGAGCCTGTTGCTAAATTTCTCATGTGGCTCCCTGCCAGGAAGGTATTGTGTTCTGAGACTTTTCTACCATTTCTGCTTAAAAAGTTCCAAATGTTCAGCCATATGATGTGAAACTTAACTTCAAGAAAATCCTAGGGGGGGTGTTGATGGTGGGGAAGATGTGGGGGTCTGATCCGCTGACCCCACGCCAGGGGAGGATACAGTTTCAAGCCTTTCTTCTGGCCCCACTCCTCTCGCCTAGCCCTAAGGAGCCCTAAGCGAGCCGGGTCCTCCAGGAAGACGGGAGCGCCCCTGGTGAAGGCAGAATCCACCAAGGCCTCTGTCCTGCAAACCCCTTCCCAGTGTATGGGTTTTCAAGGGCCGTGCAACAAAGTCTGGAAGCCCGGGGACCTGGGTTCCAAGCCCCGCCTCTGTCAGCCTCGGTGTCCTGGGTTTCCACAGCTCAAATTAAATTCCATCAATAATCCTGCAGGTTACTCTTCTAGAAGCACAGTTACCTCATTTAAACCTCACAAAAACCCCAGGTGGGAAAGCTCTTACCTCCACCTTACAGATGGGTACACTGAGGCCCAGAGGGCTTAATGACTTGATGAGACAAGCGAGTGGTGGAGGCCAAATTCCAGCCCATGTGATGTGAATCTCACGGTTTGATTGACCAGGTGTCTGCAAGTGTCAGCTTGGTGTGAGGGGCTGCCCCAGACCCCTCTAGCTGGGACGGGTGACTTTCTGTAATGAGCGTGTTGGCTCCTTCATCTGAGTTCTATACAGGGGAGGAGAGAAGGGGAATGGCCTCAATGCCTTGGTCCTTGAGGCTCTGCCTCTCGTAGCCCCTCTAGGATGGTGCAGTCACCTCTGCACCTCAAGTCCCAGGCCCAGCACCAGGCATGGAGAAGCTCAAGGCACAGCCGTCAAGCTGTCTAAAATTAATCACATGGGGCCATGGCAAGTGAGCTATAAATATGTGCATAGTGCATTGTTGGGTTTTATTTATTTATTTATTTATTTTGAGACGGAGTCTGGCTCTGTCGCCCAGGCTGGAGTGCAGTGGCGCAATCTCAGCTCACTGCAAGCTCCGCCTCCCGGGTTCACGCCATTCTCCTGACTCAGCCTCCGGAGTAGCTGGGACTACAGGCGCCCGCCACTACGTCGGGCTAATTTTTTTTTGTATTTTTTTTAGTAGAGACGGGGTTCCACCGTGTTAGCCAGGGTGGTCTTGATCTCCGGACCTCGTGATCCACCCGCCTCGGCCTCCCAAAGTGCTGGGATTACAGGCGTGAGCCACCGCGCCCGGCCGCATTGTTGGGTTTTAAAACCCAAGCAGGGCCCAGCAGTAGGATATCCACTCTGTAGATGATACAGGAATTAGATAAAGACCCAGGAAACTCAGATCGTGAGGCCTCATCAACTACTGCATGCCTAACTTACCAATCGTATCGATAGGGATCAATTACTGTGCCTAACACAAAGCCCAGCCCAGAGGAGGCAAGTGAATGAATGAATGAATGAATGAAGCCCTCCGGAGCCCACAGCCAGGAGTCTGCAGGGGCTGAGGCTGCCTTGTTCACCTTGGGGTCCGCCGTGGCTGGGTGAACAGCCTGGAGCAGGTGCAGAGTGGCTCTGATTTCCTTTGCAATCTGTCCCTGTGGTTTCCTTTTGTGCACTGCACAGGAGGCAGCCTTTGTAATATCAACCAGGCAATAGACGGGGTGACGGGACATGACCATACCATGAGGCCCCCCAGCAGGGACTCCCAGCCCAAGGGTCCCGAGCTCCCAGGACAAGCCAGAGAAGCAGAAGCAGCCCCGGGCAGCGTGTGGTCTTCACTATGTCTCCTGAAGCATCCCATCCCCAGGCACAGTTGCCAACCTACCTCCCCAGGAAAGGGGCACGTCACCTCACCACAGAGGAACACCAGAGCCTCAGGGAGCTTTCAGGATGACATAAAGGAGGAAGTAGGACTTGAACTCCCAGCCCCGGGCCCAGAAGCTCAGATGGGCCGAGGTGTGCAGGTGGCCCCTGGCTGGGCATGAATGCAGTTCCTTTTCCTCAGAGACTCCTCCCACAGGCTTCTGCCCAGGGCACTTCCCAAAGCATGAGCTGCCGGCTAGACACTCACAGGCCCCCCAAGCTTTTCCCCACCCCCATCAGGGCAGTCTCCCCTCTGCTTTTCATACCAGTCTGAGGCCCCGGGGACTCTGTGGACTAGCGGCTCCTTTTCCATCAAGGCTCCAGGCCACCACTCAGCAGATCATTCAGGCTGCAGCCAGGCTCTCCCCTTCAACGTCGCTCTCACTAATTCAGACCAGGCCCGAGCTGCTGAACTCTACCTAGGGTGCCTCAAGGAGCCACAGATGCAATGCATCAAATGAGGAGCACGTTTCCAGCGCTCAGCCCCTCATAGACACGTGGAATTCTAGACTCTCTGGGGTGGGAAAGATCTTAAAAGGCATCCTATCCAGCCACCCCCATCCACCACCACTGCTGCCATCCAGGGCCAGGAGGTCCCCACATGACCAGGAAAAGTGAACACAACATCCAGCCTCTTACACACCTCCAGGGACGGAGAGCTCACTACTTCACTGAATGGCCTGCTCTTTCTACCATCGGCTACATCCTTCCTGAAATGCATGTGAAACAGGTGCTTCCCCTTGGAGTCCCCAGCGCTGACCTCAGGACTGTGCAGGGCACTTGAGCCCCTCTTCCCAGAGACAGTGTTCTCAGGGTCTGATCCCCTCTCTTTCAGGTGTCACAGCCCAGTCTCTGCCGTGACCTCACACTGTGTCCTGGGACCACCTCAGGCACTATCTAATTACCCTTAATTTCTGAGCAACTTCAAGGTACCCAGAAGAGTCGGTGAACTGCCCCTCAGTGGGGACAATAGCCCCATGCACTTCTGAACCTGACCCAACTGCATCCACAGCTGTGGTGCGGCTCTTCGTACTGGCCCTTCTGGGACTAGATGCCACACCCTTGGGGGGCTCACTGAAGCCTCATAATGAACCTAATAGGCAAGCGCTGTTATTCCCATCATACAGGTGAGGAAAGGCTCAGAAAAGTCAAGTGATTCACCCAAGGCCACACAGCCGTCTGTGATAGACCCAGGTCTGCCAACTCCTCTGAACCAAAGCCTGAATGGGCTGCTGCTGCCATGCTCAGGAGACAGGCCATCCCCAGTGCAGCAGCTGCTGTGACCCCAACTGCCCACAGGCTGGAGCTGCACCCTTCAGCCTGGGGCCTGTGTGGCCTGGGTAGGCCCTTCTCTGCCGTGTGCAGGGCAGGCAGCCAGATGTGCCCAGGGAATGAATGGCCCGTCCACCCGGAAGCAGGTGGGAGCCGGATAAACACCCCAGCTCCCACACCACTGGGGGTAACTCTCGGGCCCCTGTTCTACACGGCATCCAACATCTTCCCAACAGGATGAAGCTCCAGGTGCTCGCTGTGGAAGCCCCTCTGACTCTAAGCCACTCACTACTTCCTTTCCCCATTCCCCACCTGTGTTTCCTGGGATCATCTGCCAAATAAGTCCTCGTCTCCGTGTCTTCTTCTGGGGACCCAAACTAAGACACCAAACACCTGAGATGTGAATACTAAGGGTCCCCTAGATCGCCCCGGACTTCCTATTCTAAAAGCCTGAGATCTGAATAATCTTCAGGGGTCCCCTAGATCACCCCGGACTTCCTATTCTAACTGCCTGAGATGCGAATACTCAGGGGTCCCCTGAAGATCACCCCAGACTTCCTATTCTAAACGCCTGTGGGGTGTTTTTGTTTGCTCGTTTCTGTTTGCGTTTGGACTTTGATACTCAGAAAACACTTTGGGGTCTTACTCGACTTCTGGAAATGCAAATAAATGTACCAAAACCAGTTTGGGATTGGATGTGACAACATGGCTAATGGGAAGGCTGCGTTGGAGGCAGCGAATTCCAGGGCGCTCCTCAAGGTGACATTAAAGTAATAATGAGGTAACAGCCGCGGCACAGTCCGGCCTGGACATTCGTGTCTGTGACTCATCTTGTCCTGCAAAAATCAAGTCCAGGATGTGCCTGGTTCTGGGTTTGAGCTCTTCCACTCCCTGGGACTAGACCCAGAATGGGGCAGTGCCCTGCTTCTAGAAGCTCTAGGACCCAGCGCTGGGAAACGGGCGGTGGGATTGTGAGCACTGCAGGGTGGGAAGGGGGTCTAGTCCAAGGCCACGCAGCCTCCCCAAGCCTCTGTTTCCCTGTAGGGTTCCCGGAGGGCTATGACGCAAAGCCCCCGCAGCACTTGGCACCTGGTGTGTGCTCGGCAGACAGTGGTGACCGTCAGGAGCTGGGCAGAGAAGCAGACCAGGACCTGGAGCCAGACGAGGAGGCCTTCAGAGATGAGCCGGAAAAGCCCAGGAAGCAGTCGTGGATTGCACAAATGAGGCTGGACTGGAAGATGCTGGAGCCCAAGTGAAGCTCTGGCTCTCGTCTGTTAGAATGTGGCCTCCGCTCCTGCTATGGGGTCATGCAGTGGAGGTCTGGGATGGATCAGGAAAAGCTGCTTCACACACATCTGCTCGGCCATTGCCCTCGTGCCACAGACAGAGCTAACGAGCCAGATGCCACAGCTCCTGATACCGACCATTCACCGACTCCGCGGCCAGAAGCACCTACTATGTGCCTACTACGCACCAGGCACCGTGCCCACACAGGCCCAGCCAGCGCCCTGCCCTGTCCTCTCAGCCGACACTTCCCCGGGCGCATCTGCCAGAAAGGATTAAGAAGTTGCCTTAGGAAGGCCTGGCTTTGTTTGGGAAATTTCCCCCAGCTGAGAAGGAGAGGCCAGACAAGGAAAGAATGACCAATTATACGCTGTGTTGTCTTCAGATGAAAGGGCCTTTTTGTGGCCCTCCTCCATCTCCTGTTTGGGCTGTCAACAGCAATTTGACGAGGAATGTTGCTCGGCCTGACCTGTTTTTTCAAGATGGTAACCTATATTGTGTATCATCTCAGCCCTGGAGATCACCAGCCGGCACCCTCCTCAGCACAGTCCCCCCAGTTGAACTTCACCTTTAAAACCAGGAAAATTGATTGGAAAAAAATTCAGGGAAATCTCCCACTAATGATATTTTGAGTTCAGGAACAAGGGGGGGAATT
The DNA here is from genome assembly GCF_000001405.40 of Homo sapiens. NCBI lineage: Eukaryota > Metazoa > Chordata > Mammalia > Primates > Hominidae > Homo > Homo sapiens. The sequence continues at coordinate 90,690 of NW_021159993.1, forward strand.
AAAGTGGCTTTAATCTGATTCTCAACATGGATTTCAGTGGTGAATGGTCAATTGTTACTAAATTCTAATTGGTTCTGGGTCACTCCCTTTGAAATAGTGGCTGTGTTCTGTTCATTTTTTCAATTAAATCTTAACAATTCACATCTGACAAAACTCAAAAATCTTGTCAAAAATTGTTCAGATTTGTATAGTAAGAATGTGCAAGAAGCAACATGGAGCTTGGACTGGGGGAAACTTTCATACGGAGGAACAGTTTAAGAGCTAATTATGAGAATGCCGATTTTATTGTTTACTGACTCACTTCCTTAGACTACAGAGAACAAACCTTTTTCATCAACTTGCAAAAACTATTTTAGAGGAAATCGAAAGGACCACAAATGCCTTTGCCTAAGCAATGATTGTTCTCTGGATTGAGAAATTCAAACCCTTTTCACGTCTCATCTCTCATTGTGAGAAAGTTTTATTTTATTCTTCAAGTAAAACAGGAGACAGCTTGATGGAGAAAAAACAAGGGCTTTGCAGCTAGCCAACTCGAGTTCAAGGCTGGCCCCTGCCGCCGAAAAGCTGGGCAGTAACTTCCCTGCCGAGACACTGTCAGAGCCTCAGTTTTCTCACCTGTGAAATGGGGGTGATGTTTTCTAGATTTCTGGTCATGAATCAATGCTGTTTGATACCTGAGGCACTCCATAAACAGAAGGTGGCACTCAGATTATAGAATTGCTACGGCTTGGTCCCAGGCTTTGTTTTATCTCTGAAGACACTCCAGAGCAGAGAGGGCCATGACTGTCCCAGCATCACACAGCCAATCAGTTCTGGAGCCAGAAAGAGAAGCCAATCCTTTTTCTCAAAGCTGCTTCCGGAAGGTTTCTGGGTGACATTTCAGAATCTGGGTGACATTTCAGAATCTGGGTGACATTTCAGAATGTGTGCATGGCTGTCTAGAGCTCACGCCTGGCTTCTCAGAGTGTGGTCGCTGGGCCAGCTGCCTGATATCACCTGGGAGCTTGTTAGAATGCAGTTTCAGGCCCTAGCACAGGTTCCGAATCGGCGTTATCACGGGCCCAGCAGGATCCCGGGCACTGGAGGGTTGGAGGCATGCTGACTTGTGGCATTTCATCAGGCTCTGAGGACCTGAACACTAGAGCCGCTGCCATGTCCACGATGGCCCTGTATGCCCTCCAATCTCACAGCCAGGCCTGCTCCTCATGCGGGACGGGAAAGGCCGGGGGGATGCCGGCGAGGACTAGCGAGGAAGACCCCAGCCCGTGCAGCAGCCTGAGGGACACGCAGCCATAGAGGACGTCCTCCATGACATCGTCTACCCGTGGTCGTCGGTGGCAGCCTGCCCTGCTTAGCACCTCTATGCGTTACTGCCCTGACCCCTATAAAGCAGCACCCCCATCACCCACGTTGTCCGGCCCTGCCCTGCGGTTCCTAATTTCCCCTCCACATTGTCCACGTCTCTTTGTCTGAGGGGGTGCTAAGGAAATGGACACCCCCTCCCAGCAGCCCTCAGCCAGCACCCTGCCCCACTGCGGGATCACTCAGGAGGAGTGCCTGGAGAGATTGGCACAGCTGCTCTGGAAGGCAGTTTGGCAACTTCCTGCAAAACTAAATGTAATTAAAATCTAATCCAGCGATTGCGCTCTTTGATATTTACTCAAATGAATTAAAAACTTACAGCCACCCAAAAACCTGCACATGACATTTATAGCAGCTTTATTCATGGTCACCAGAAACCGGAAGCCACCAAGGTGTCCTTCAGTAGGCAAATGGATACATAAATTGTGGTACAGACCATGGAATATGATTCAGCACTCAAAAGGAACGAGCTATTCTGCCATGAAAAGCCATGAAGAGTCCCTAAGTTCATGTCACAAAGTGAAAGAAGCCCATCTGAAAAGGCTACACAGTGATATGGTGATACTGGAATATGGGGATATGGGGGTGTGGGAAGATGGGACTATGTGGATATGGGGATATGGGGATTTTGGAATATGGGGATATGGGGATTTTGGAATATGGGGATATGGGAATATGGGAACTCTTTGTGCTTTTTGCTCAATATTTCTGTGAGCCTAAAACTGCTCTAAAAGTAAAGTTCATTAATTAAATTTAAAACAATAACAACAATCCTGTGCCTCAGCTGCCCAGAGCTGCTGCATGAGGCAGTGGAACTCAGATGGGCGCAATTGGGCACCTTGGGAAGGTCAGCCCTGCCAGGGTTGCATGGGAACTTCCTCTGTGCCCAGGAAGACAGAGAGAGGAGTCGAGCCTGCCCGGGGCGGGGTGGGGGGTATGAAACATGAGGCCTGCAGCCCAGAGCAGGAGATGGGGTCAGAGAGTGACGAGGGTGGGGACAAAGAAGGTGATGTTATGAGGCCCCAGGGGCAGAGCAGGATGATTCCTGGAGGAGGGGGCCAACAGCTGAAACTTAAGAGTGAGTGAAGAGTGAAGAGAGCCTCTTCCCTCAAGCCAGTCCCAAGGGCTCACCTACTGTCACCCAAGGTCCAGCACATCTGTGCCTCCTCCCCACACCCGGCTTGGCTCGGGACAGGCCCTTCCACCCTGGCTCTTGCCCCATCCCCTTTGCAGCCCCTCTTCACAGCCCCCACAAGGGACTGTTCTACAATGCAAAAGGGGCCCAAAGCACCCTGCTCAGAGCCCTTCAGTGACTCCCCCTTGCCCTCAGGAGAAAGTCCCGTGCCTGGCCCAGCTTCCAGGTCCCTAGAGACCAGCCCCACCCCCTTGTCTTCCACCTGGCCCAGTCAGGTATGTGAGGAAGGGTGAAGAGACAGGAACCATTCTGGGTGGCTGGGACTGCACTATCCAATTCCACCAGCGGGGCTGAGCCGCCCCAGGTGGCAGCTCTTGCAAGGAGCTTTCAGGAACATGGACCCCTCTTATCCCAGCAGGGAGGCAAGGTAGGCAAGTGGCCCCCCATCTACAGAGGGGGACCAAGATGCCAGGAGAGGGTGTCCCCCTCTGTAGATGGTGCTTGACCCAGTGCTTCCTGGAGAGAGGGGGCTGAAATCCCCAGACAGCCCACGTGTGAGAGGTGGGGGTCTCGGCAGAGGGAGAGGCCTCCCCGCCAGGGCCTGGATGAGGGACCTCAGGACGCTTGTGACCACAGTATTTGCCCACCTGGGTTGGCTTTTCTCAGTCCTGGGGAAAGGGCAGAGGCAAGGGAGGGGCGGTGCATAGCTGCGGAGGTCTGGGCTGCGCCCAGGAGAGGAAGCATCCCTGGAGCACTTGGCCTTGACCCCAGGAGGTGAAGGCCATACTCTGCTGTGGCCACAGCACTCAGCTAATCCATTATTGAGCACCTCGGCTGGTCACCAGGCAATTAGCGCCCAGGCCTCCGTCCTGACGCCTAATTGCACTAATTGATAGTGCTGGCCGTGGTCCCCCAACCCTTGCCCTTGTCCAGAATGGCTTCACGCCTGGGAGCCCAGCCTCTAGCCTCCCTCTCTCAGGGCTTGCTGAAGCATCTTTTCCTGGAGGCCACAGTCTGGGGACCGCTTGGCCAGCCCTCCACTTTGGCCAGGATTTTACTCCAGTACCCACCTCCCCTCACCTTCCCTCAGTCCCTAATACCAGGTCCTCCATTCACATATCTGTAAGATGGATGGGCAGGACTTGGTTAAGAGCAAAGGTCAGGTTCAACAGGTGCTATGGGGTTGGGGGGTAAGTGACTGTTCCTTTTTGAGCCTCAGACCCAGTTTGTAGGGCAGCTGGGATGACTAAATTAGGTGACAGATGTAAAGCACAGAGCTCTGGGCCGGGCCCCAAGTGAGGGGCTCAGTACACCTTCTCAGTGCCACCACAGTGATGATTGTGATGGTGGTGATGGTGATGATGGAGGTGGTGATGATGATGGAAATGATGATGATGATGATGAAGATGGTGATGACAGTGGTGACGGTGATGACAGTGATGATGGTGATGGTGATGGTAGTGTTGATGATAATGGTGATGGTGGTGATGATGATGGCGATGGTGGTGATGATGATGATGTTAGTGGTGGTGATGCTGATTATGCTGATGGTGATTATGGTGATGATAGTGATACTGTGGTGGTGATGGTGATGGTGATGTGGTGGTGCTGATGGTGGTGATGGTGGTAGTGATGTTGATGGTGGTGATGGTAGTGATGTTGATGGTGGTGATGGTGGTAGTGATGTTGATGGTGGTGACAGTGGTGATGGTAATGACAGTGGTGATGGTGATATGTTAATGATGATGATGATGGTGATGGTGGTGGTGGTGATGATGGTGATGTGCTGGTGATGGTGATTATGGTGATTATGGTGGTGATGATGGTGATGGTGATGGTGATGGTGATAATGGTGGTGGTGATGGTGATGTGCTGGTGATGGCGATTATGGTGGTGTTGATGGTGATGATGGTTGTGATGATGGTGATGGTGACTATGATGGTGGTGATGGCGATTATGGTGGTGTTGATGGTGATGGTCATGATGATGATGATGATGATGATGGTGGTGATGATGGTGATGATGATGATGATGATGGTGATGATGATGATGATGATGATGATGATGATGATGATGATGATGATGATGATGATGATGATGATGATGATGATGATGATGATGATGGTGATGATGATGATGATGATGATGATGATGATGATGATGATGATGATGATGATGATGATGATGATGGTGATGATGGTGGTGATGGTGATTATGGTGGTGATGATGGTGATGGTGATTATGGTGGTGGTGATGATGATTATGGTGGTGATGATGGTGATGGTGATGATGGTGGTGATGGTGATGGTGATTATGGTGGTGATGATGGTGATGGTGATTATGATGGTGATGATGGTGGTGGTGGTAATAGTGGTGGTAATGATGGTGCTGGTGATGATGACGGTGATGATGATGTGGTAGAGATGATGGTGGTGGGGCAAATGGCCTCTTTAATGAGGGAATGAGAGCCATACACGAGCAGCCAGGATGTAGTGAGGCCCAGCAACATTGTTGTTTGCTGAGAGCCTGGGAGCCCATCCTCTGATGCCCCACTCCTGGAAGAGAACTATCCCTCCCTTGAAGATCTCTGATGCTTGCAAGAGGCAATAATGCTTCTTGGTACAACTACAAGCCCACCTTCCTGTCTCCTCTGAATGGTGAAGGCTTCAATGCAGAGCCCCGATGGCATGGTGGTGAAGAGCCAGAGCTCGGAACCAGATGCCAGGTCCAGGCCCTGCCTCTGTCTATATTAGGTTCACTGTCTGGAGCCTCTTACTTGATCTCTCCATTCCTCTGTTTCCTCAACTATGGCCTGGGGACAATGGGAGTCCTGACTTCATAGGTTGATGTGCAGCTTAAATGGGCCAATATATACACTACTCTGGCATGGGACAGTCACCATTGTTATTAATTGCCTGAAAATTAACGTAAATTAGTGTAAAGCTTTTTACTTCCAAGCACTCCATCCAAAAAGTAAAAAGATGACACAAAGAATGGGAGAAAATATTTGCAACACATATATATCATTCAGAACCTGTATCCAGAATATATAAAGAACTCTGACAACCCAACAATAAAAGGACAAATAAGTCAATTTAAAAATAGCCCAAGGATTCACATAGTCATGTCTCTAAAAAGGATATAAAAATGGCAGATAAATAGATGGAAAGATACTCAGTATCATTAGTCATTAGGGAAATGCAAATCAAACCACAATTAGATACCACTTCACACCCAGCATCACAGCTGGAATAAAAAAAAAGGCAGATAATAGCAAATGCTGGTGAAGATGTGGAGAAATGGGAACCCTCACACACTGCTGAAAGTAGAATGGTGCAGCCACTTTGGAAAATCGTCAGGCAGCTCCTCAAAAACAGAGTGTTATGACATAAGTCAGCAATTCCGCTCCTAGGTATGTGCCCAAGGGCACTGAGAACATCACCATCTTAAAAAGATGTGCATGCGTGTACATGGCAGCACCATTCATAATAGCCAAAAAAGTGGAAATAACCCAAATGTCCATCCACTGATGAATGGACAAAGAGGTCTATCCATACAGCAAAATATTATTTGGCCATAAAAAAGAATGAAATCCTGTTACATACCTTGAAAACATTACACAAAGTGATAGAAGCCAGACACGAAAGGCCACAAACGTGATTCCATTTACGTAAGTGTCCAAAATAGGCAAATCCATAGAGATATAAGTAGATTAGTGGTTGCCAGGGCTGGGAGTAGGGAGAAAAGGTGGGTGACTGCTAAAGGGCATGGGGTTTCTTTGAGGGGTAATGAAAGTGTTCTAAGCCCAGTGCAGTGGCTCATGCCTGTAATCCCACCACTTTGGGAGGCTGAGGTGGGAGGATCTCTTGAGTCCAGGAGTTCAAGACCAGCCTGGACAACATAGCAAGACCCCCATATCTAAAAAATTAAATAAAATTAGCTGAACATAGTGATGTGTGCCTGTAGTCCCAGTTACTCAGGAGAATTGCTTGAGCCCAGGAGGTCAAGGCTGCAGTGAGCCGAGATTACATCACTGCACTCCAGCCTGGTGATAAGGCAAGATCCTTCCTCAAAAAAGAAAACAAAAGAGGCCGGGTGCAGTGGCTCATGCCTGTAATCCCAGCACTTTGGGAGGCCAAGGCAGGCAGATCTCTTGAGGTCAGGAGTTTGAGACCAGCCTGGCCAACATGGTGAAACCCTGTCTTTAATAAAAAACAAACAAAAAATTAGTGGACTGCCAGCAGATGCCTGTAATTCCAGCTACTTGGGAGGCTGAGGCAGGACAATCGCTTGAACCAGGGAGGTGGAGGTTGCGGTGAGCCTAGATTGCAACACTGCATTCCAGCCTGGGTGGCAGGGCGAGCGATACTCCATCTGAAAGCAGAAAGATGAAAGAAAGAAAAGAAAGGAAGGAAGGAAGGGAGGGACGGAGGGAAGGAAGGAAAGAAAGAAAAAAGAAAAAGAAGATGCTCTAAAATTAGATCCTAAAATTTAAAATTGGGGTGGTGGTTACACCCCAATCCTATGAATATGCTTAAAAAAACACTGAATTGTACAATTAAAAGGCTGAATTCTACAGTATGTGAATTATATCTCAATAAAACTGTTATTAAAAAAGAAGCCCCCAGTAAATGTTGGTGGATCAATGGAAGAATTTTTTCCCAACTGGGACATGTGGAGGATGGAGGTGAGTCTGCGCTGCTGAGGAGTCCCTGCCGTGTTGTGCCTGGGCTGGCTGTGCAGGGTGCTCCCGGCTGCCCCACGCCCTGGGCTGGATGTTCATCCTTATGATGCCAAGGACAGATGGGCACAGCAGGTGGGGAGATGGCTGGAGAGAAAGGGCCTTCTGAGGCCAAGACCCCAACCCCACAGCGTTCCCCTGGACGAATCCAAAAGTAACGACCCCTAGGCAGCAGCAAATGCTGCTTAGCTCCTCTTAGCAAAGAAGAGTCCAGAAGGTTCTAGCTATGATTTATCGTTATTATTCTCCTTGCCTCACCCCTCCCATCTGCCTGCTGAAGCTTCCACACGTCAGATATTGAACAGCCTGCCTCTCGCAGTGTGCGCTGCCCCCGCCGTGCTGCTGAGGAGCTTCCCACAGCTTCTGTGCCTTCTCTGGTCAGAGGCTCCCTGAGATCCCTCCCTCAATGCTGACCAGAATGAAAGCTATTCTATGTCCTGTCTGCTTCCCCCAAAGTGAGCTCCTTGAGGCACACAGAGCGTCCTATGCTCTCTGAACCTGCAAAGCCCAACTCAGGGCCTGGTACTCACTCTACACCCAGTTTGGGGATGGATGAATAACTGGGTCACCCTGGACTGTTGTATGGGTTGTGCACTGCTCAAAAGTGCCTGGCCAAGGGAGCGGGTCAAGGCTGAAATTCAGCTCACTCTCTGCTCACTGCTCATCAAGCTGAACAGCCCAAAACTGCATCGAGCTGGAGGGCAAGTCTTTTCCTAATTTCCACAAAGATGGTAGAGAGGCTGGCTGCCACCCAGGAGGGAGAGAAGGGAAGGAGAGAGAGGGGAAAAGGGAAGGGAATGTGATCTATTTTAAGTGCTCAAAATTTGTGTCCACAAACATTTAACAGTGTGCCCCCAGGGTTAAACAAGGGAATGAATGTGCATTCATCATAATAGGCTAAGTTACACGACAGTGACAAACAAAATCCAGGTGGGTGCACACACTAAGGTTTATTTCTTGCTCACACTGAGTGCCCCCTGTGGGAACACTGCTCCACGCGGTCACTCGGGGGTCCAGGCTGACAAAGGCTCCACCGTGTTGTGGCTGCACCATCCAGTCCCTGCGGCCTCCTCCGCCATCCAGAGGCTCCCACTGTCACTTCTGTTCACTTTGTATTTATCAGCTCTGGTCACCTGCCCCTCTCCACACTGCACAGGCTGAGGTGTAATCTTCTGTGTGCCTGCAGGGGAGAAAAACCAGGTATTGGGAGCACTAGTCATGTCTGCACAAGGTGTCAGCTAATCCTGGATGCTCCACTGCCAGCCACATGGCTCAAAACCCAAACCTGGCTCACAGAGTGGTCTCCAAACTACAGGGACCTAGGACTCCCCGGGAACTTGTCAACATGGGGGTTCCCACTCCCAGAAACTGGTGAAGTAGGACCAAGCTGGGAACCCAGGTGTAACAGGCTCCCCTGGGATTCCAATGCAGTGGCCCTGGGGCGAGTGGCACTGACCATAGGGTGAAGTGCCACCTGCAACCCCATGAGTCCTGAGCAGGCCTCCTGCCTCTTCCACCTCTCACACTCCCCTGCAAACACCCCACACCCCAAACCTCTCACCCCTTACCCCACCAGGCATTGAACCATACACGGAGCTCCTACTGGGCTTGTGAACGCCCCTTTCATGTACCCAGAACCCCTTACCCTGGTCTCTAGGCTCATCCTTCATGCTCAGTTCCAATGTCTCCTCCTACAGGCAGTCTTCCTGGATCCTCTGAAAATAATTGGCCCTTCCCCTGATCTCCAGCATGTTGTTGTTTTAGTGCTTCTTTTTAGCCCACATTTTAATCAGTGGCCACTGTCAGGCACCCCCTGAGGGCAGGGTGCCAGCTAGGGGTTCCCTGTGTGCAAAAGTGACATGGGACACGGAAATGACTATGACTCAGCTCCTGTCTCAAAGTGCCAGGCCCAGGGCTGCTGACACAGTGGCAAAGTGGGAATTCCCTGACCATTTGCATTGCCACATCAAGGGCTCTAAGAAAGTCTACAAATAAAAGTACAAAGCCATTGAGCCGGGCGTGGTGAGGGATGCCTGTAATCCCAGCTACTTGGGAGGCTGAGTGGGGAGGGTTGAGCCCAGGAGCTCCAGTCCAGCCTGAGTAACGTAGCAAGACTCTGTCTTTAAAAATTAAAAAAAATAATAATTTAATTTAATTTAAAAAGCCACTAAGTGATCTGATGTCTCCTGAGAATATCTTTGACTTAAGAATTCCTGGTTCACACCAGGAGGAGCAAGATGTTTCTGGGAACGTGGTTTGAGAAATGCTGTTCACGGTGAAGCCACATCTGCAAAGAGCTATTTCTGTAACGGGATGCCGCCAACAGACGGAAGCCACTGAGCCCTGCTCTTCGGAAGATGCTGGGCCGGGCACAACTCCTGTCCCGAGAGCAGGCGGACCTGAAGGAACATCGGCCAGACACTGGACACGTGCAAACCACCCCCTTCTGTCCCCACAGAGATGCTTCTGCTCAGGGCCAAGGGCTCCCAGGTCACAGATGTGGAAACAGCCTCCCGTGGAGCTAGCAGTGCCCAGATTTGAACCTGGAGCTGTGGTCTTTCCAGTATATGAGGCCTGCCTTGACTATACTGCCTCCTTCATTATATCCTGCATACAGTTGGTACTCTGTAATTGCTTTCTGGACACAAGAATAAAGAAACAGGATTCAGAAACAGGGGAATGGGAAGGACAAGAAGAACCTCGGGGTTGGCTGGAGTGGCTCTGGAGAGGACCTGAGCTGAGAGCCAGTGGATTAAGTTGAACTGGAATCAACGAGCCCCCTATACTCCAGGCTTTACGGTAACTGGAACAGGCTCCGACTCCCTGGAGCGCCAGGTCCAGGGTGACATCTGAGCTCAGCGAACCGAATTTTGAATCTAAAACTCGACACTCGATTCAGTTATTGGACAACACTGAAGTATGTTTGGAACAACTTGGGTCTGAGAATCTGCTTTTTCAACTGTAAATCTTATGATAGCTAAATTCAGATCAAGTATTTCCAATAAAACTTCGGCATCTGAATGGAGATGTGCTGTAAGTAAAAAATGCATACTTTTGTGCTCTCCAAAGAGAGTCCGAAACATGTAAAGCAACTCAATATTTTTATATTGATTGCATACTGAAATGGTAATTTTGAACATGTTGGATGAAATTATCATTTATTTGCAACTGTTTGTTCTTTAATGTAGCTACTAGAAAATTTATATCACATATGTGGTTCACAGTCATAGCTTCTATTGGACAATGCCACCTTGAAGCCTATGATATTTTGATAAAATGGAAATAAAGAGTTTGCGGAAATTTTATGATTGTTTTTTACTCATCTAGGCAGAGTACTTGGAATGCCCTAGTTCAATCCCCTTGTTTTACAAATAGGAAACCTGAGGCCAGAGAAGGCAAGTAAGTTGCCTGGGTCACACAGCATGTGGATGGAGCTGGGCCCATAACTTGGCACTTGCTCCAGGCATGCTTGGAGGTGCCGGCTGCTGTAGACCAACCTAAACCAGGCTCCCCCATCCCCCTTTTTTCAGATATGCCTTGCAAGAACACAGATCTGCAGGCCACTAGAACCAAGCAAGATGCCAACATGCCTGACACCCAACCTGGGTCAGAAGATTACCCCAGGGCAAGTAGCAAGGAGACATCATAAGGGCTTTTCCTGGTTGGTGAAGACCACAGGCTGCTGCCCAAGGGAAGGGCCTGGAGTCCCTGACACTTGGCCATCTGTGCACCGTGCTCAAAGCCTCACCTTCCAACTACAAAGAGAAAAATGTTCCCTCTGTGAAAAGGTGGGCTGTATCCAGCAGAGGGTAACCTGTCCAGCTCACGTTACCGCAGGAGCAATTCCTCCTCTCTGAACAGAGTGCAGCATCGTGGGGGTGGAGACCCGGCTGAGGGGGGTGGGCCTCCTCCCCCTGCCCGCTGCTCCATCGTGGACGTCTTCTCTCAGAGCCTCGATTTTCCCATCTGTGAAACGGGGGTATGAAGTGTGGGATGAAGCCTTTTCATGAGGTTGTGAGACGGGTCCAACCATGGCAGCTGTCATGAGCTGAACTGTGTCCTCCCAAATGTGTATGGGGAGGTCCTGACCGGCAGCACCCCAGAACGGGAGTTTATTTGGAAATAGGGTCTTCCTGAGGTAAGCAAGCTGAAATGCAGGCAGGGCCCTACCCCAAGCTGAGTGGTGTGTGAGGACAAAGAGAACTTTGGACACAGACTCACTAGAGGCAGGGCAGCGTGAAGCCAAGGAGAAGGCGGGCACTCAGCTGGCACCACGTGGCCTTGAGCCACAGATTGCCAGATGCCATCAGAAGCTGGAGGGGGCAGGAAGGGCTCTCCTCTAGAGCCTCTGGAGGGGCACAGCCCGACCGACGCCTGGGGCTCAGACTTGTGGTCCCCAGAACTGCAAGATAAAACATTTCAATTGTCTGAAGCCCATTGCCTGTGGCCCTTGGTCCCGGCAGCCCCAGGACACTCACGGAGACACACGCAGGGCAGCTCTCCTGGGGTCCCCCCGGCCCCAGCGTGCGGTCTTCAACTGTCATCAGGCCCATGTGGATGCAACCCCAGGGGTTTTTCTCCCTCTCTTCCAATCCTCTGCCCTTGCTGGGTAGGGCAGGAAGAAATGGGGACCCTCACAGGAGGTCTCTGAGCTGGAACAGCCCCTCCGGGCATCGGGTGTGGTCTGCCATTTGTCATTTAACTCCACCCTCAGCCCGGAGTCTTCAGATGAGGGTTCTCTGCCCTTGCTTCCTGTCAGGGGGGCCCGATGGGAGGGACACAGGTGGGCAGGTGACAAAGGAAGTGGCCAAGGGTGTGTCCCAAACCCTGTGGGTGTTGGTTTCTCTGGGCCTCCTTCTCCCACAGCCCCACAACCCCCCTCAGCCCACCCATGTGCCGAAGAGTGTCTCACGTGGCAAGCCTGGCACCTGATAGGCACACGGTGAGTCTGTTGACTGAATGAGTGAAGGTAGACAGGGTGCTGGCTGGGGCTGGGTAAGGAGTGGAAGAGCCCAGGTTGCAGACCGCTGGGAAACAGATGGGGGTTCCCGGAAACCCAGGTTCAGCCCAGCACCTGACCCTCACATCTTTGCCCCTCAGAGCCGACCTCTGCCCGTGCCCGCCTGCCTGTGGGGAGCCTCTGCACAGTGTGGGAGTCCCAGGCACCACCTTGGGGTGGTCAGCTCTGCCCCGACCCCTTCCGGTGGGGTTCCTGGAGGTGTTGTCTCCATCCCCACCGCCCCGGTCTCCACTGGCCCTGCTGAAGCTCATTGTGGCCCCTCCAAGCACTGTCCCTTACCCTGACCTCGGGCTGCAGGATTAAGCCCAGGCTCCTGGCTGGGGGGCAGACTGCGCCCTCCTCCAGGCCTAGCCTCTGCTGCCCTCCCTGGCCAGCTCCCTGGACTCCAGGCCTCTCAGGCTCCCACAGCATCCGCACCTCACCCCACAACACATGACTTGCCCACAATCGCCTCCACCACACCCCATCCCACCTCCTACCTGTGTTCACACCATCCCTTCAGTTCAGAATATTCTTCTGGCTATCTGCCCCTCCGCCTCCCTGGAACACCAGTGTTAGCGCCTGCCCTTCCCCGCGGGTGGGCGTCACCACTCCACTCACCCAGCCCTGCGACTCGGTCTTCGCTCCTGGTCTGGATCCGGCATCTCTCCTGCTGGACCCAGGCTCCTGAGAGGCTGGGACTGTTGCCGCCAGTGTTGTCTGGAATCCTGGTCTCCAGGACAGTGCCCACATGTGCTGGGTGCCCCAGAGAGTACACTGCCTCTCCAGACACAGCTGCCCCCTTGGCCGGACTGGGCTCCCCCAGGGCAGGGAGTCTGGAATCCATTTCTGGGTCTTCGTGCCTAGCACGGGGCCCTGGCAGACACTCTCCAGGCTTCTGGAATTCTGAACGGCATTCCCATTTGCAAACACAAAAACAGAGGCTTGGAGCACCTTAGCCAGCTGCCCAAGCAGCCGTCGTTACTGAGCAGGGAGACCAGACCCCGTGTGTCTGACTCAAGCCTGAGGGCCCCCTTTGGTTTGGGGCCTTACAACACAGGAAGGACAGGCTGGGATCTGAAGAGGGTTCGGGTCTTCGTGGCAGAACAGAAGGCCTACGAATGGCCCCCACTCCCATCCCAGGCTTTCTTTCCCACAGGCTGTGCTCAGGGATGGCCTAGATCCAGCTTGGGAGAGACCCAGGCCCTCGACAGGACAGGATGCAGAGGTGGGCATTCTCACAGCTTCCCTCCATGGCTCCCGCGGGTGTACAATGCACCCCAAGGGGCAGCTGAGAAGCGAAGGCAGCCAGCACATTACTCCTAGGAGGTCTCATGGTTCATCACCGGTCGGGGCACCTTGTAAGCTCTGATGCCATCCAAGGGCCCTCTGTAGAACAAGCACAGACACATCAGTTGGATACAAGACCCCCTGAGGCCCACTCACGGATCACCAGAGGCTCTGCGGGCCTGAGGCCAGGATGCCCCCGAAGGGAAAGAGGAGGCCTGGGACCCACGGTCGTCTCAGGCATGAATCTGCCATGGGCCTGTGGGCCAGTCACTGGGCCTCTCGGGGCCTCCATTTCTCCATCATAAAACAGGAGCCTGAAGTCTAACCCCCAAGTCCAAGGACTCTTCCTCCTGCTTCCCAGTGGGGTGGGCTTCCCTGACATCCTGGAAAGACCATCATTCCCACCAGCAGCCCAGGCCTGGGCACTGTGGGGACACACTTTCCTCCGCTCATGCCCCGAGGCCAGGCAGCGGGCTGGAGACAGCTCCAGGCAGAGATGGGAGGGCCTCGAACCTGCGTCCTGTGTCAAGGAGGCACCAACAGAAAACCATAAAGGGCTCAAGCTGGTTCCCGGGCAGGCAGCCCCTCTCGTCCCTAGACACTGCAGTGGGAGTGCAATCCAGGGTCTCCACCTCTCCTGACCCTTCCAAGCCCCGGCTCTGGCTCCAAGGGGCTGTGGGCAAGGAGAGCGTGATGAGTATTGACCCTGCATTCAATGGGCAATCACTCATGTTATTTTGGGTAACAGACCTTGGGTGAAGCCAATTTAGTGGCAATTTGTAATAAAAATAACAGATGGGCTCAGCCAGCAAGGCAGACATCCAGTGAACGCGGCTGCAGGGAGGTGTCGAACCTGCTGGAGCCGCCTGAAACCCAGGCCCTCACGCCCTGCATCTGCTCCACTGCACTTTGTCACGGAGCAGCTGTAACGACCTTGGCTATCATTTTTTGAGCACCTAGGACAGATGAGGAAGTGGTAGATCAGAGAGGTCGGAAGCCTTGGACAAAGCCACACAGCCAGGAAACAGGGGGCTGAGACTTCCTCCAGGTCGGCCTGACTCCAATGCCCGGGCTCCCTGCTCTGCACCACGCTGCCTCACAGGAGGCTGCACACGCGGGGCCTGGGTGTGGGGAACTGGACGCATCCCACCCCTGTGTCTGAGCTCACGGGAGTCAGCCTCCGGGGCTGGGGAAGAACCAGGTCACTGGTGCAGCTGAAGGGCTTTACAAGTCCTGGTTTTGGTGCTTTGTGGCCAAAACTGACAGCATTCTCTTTTGTGAATTTTCCCCTCTGTGCAGGGCTTCCAAGTTGCCTCCCAATAAATACTGTCCCCTCTGCTTTAGCAACAAAACTCTTTGAAGATAGGGGTAGCCAGAGAAACGAAAGCAGAAATCAGTGAAAGAGGCTTCTGGGCTATCTCTAAAAGCTGAGAGGAGGCCCACCTTTGCCTCTTGCCCTTCCCCTTATTCCTGAATAAAACAGGAATGTGAGAGCTGGTGCTTCAGCAGCCATTCTGTGACCTGGAGGATGAAACTTATCCACTAAGGATGGCCAAAAAAAAAAAAGCAAGATAGAAGGAGTCCCTGGGTTCCTGGCCACACTAGCCCTGGGCTGCCCACCTCCCACTGTGGTCAGTGCCCTGTCAGCAGCCAAACACAGATTCTGACTGGCCCAGTTTACAAGAGCCTCCTGTATTAGGGTATTGACTCTATTTCTTAAATGGAAGCCAAGTCATGGTAGCTTACACAAGACAGAAAGTTTTGTTTGTTTCTCACAAACAAATAAATGAGTGAAGCTGGTAAACCATCCAGGAGGTAGGACAGCTCTGCCCCAGGTCACCAGGGACCTGGCTCCTTCTATCCGAGGCTCTGCTTTGCTGTAACTAAATTGTCCTCACCTGACCATCACAGCCCCATTCCAGGCAGCCAAGAAGGAGAGTTTGAGGGTCACCCAACTTCCTGATAAGTCAAAGATCTATCCAGATGTTGCCCGCTGCACATCTCATGCTCACTGGTCAGAACCACATCATGTGACCGGGCTGAGCTGCAAGGGAGGCTGGGAAATGTAGTCTTTAGCTAAGTGCCCAACTGAAATCCAGAAGGGTTCAATTAGTAAAAGGTAAAAGGGGAGAATGCGGCTGGGCATGGTGGCTCACACCTGTAATCCCAGCACTTTGGCAGGCCAAGGCGGGCGGATCACCTGAGGTCAGGAGTTCAAGACCAGCCTGACCAATATGATGAAACCCCGTCTCTACTAAAAATACAGAAATTAGCTGGGTGTGGTGGTGGGCCCCTGTAATCTCAGCTACTCGGGGAGGCTGAGACAGGAGAATTGTTTGAACCCGGGAGGTGGAGGTTGCAGTGAGCCGAGATCACACCACTGCACTCCAGCCTGGGCAACAAGAGCAAAATTCCATCTCAAAAAAAAGGGGGGCGGGGGAAGAATGGATCCCCCTTTCCTCACTCTGAGATCAGATAAAAATGTATGAGTATTTTTAATCTTTTTATAAAGCTTTTTGCTTTTGCGTTTACATCTTGAACCAGCCTGAGAGGAAGTGTGTGCCCTGAGCCGACCCATGGCCCTGCCCTGCCATCCCTTCCTGCTGATCCCTGCATGGTGTGCGAGAAACAGCTGTCCATCCCCACCCACCCCTTCTCCCTGTCTTACCCTGCCTCGAATGGGTCCTGGAGGCCTGATGTGAAGGACACAAGTCCCTGCCCTCCAGGAGCTCGCAGCCAGGCAGTGGGGGGTCGACAGATCCTGCTACACCTCCAGGGAAGTGCTCAGGGGCTGTCGGCCACCCCTGGAGGGTAACAGCTGTGCTGAGGGCTGGGCTCAATCCCCCAGCAGGGCCTGGGCCCCATACAGGCTGATGCCGGGGAGAACCCTGAATGGGATGAAGAGCCTGAGGCTCACAGAGGCTGCTCAAATCCAGGTACACATTTGCCATAATGCCAGTGAAAATATCACTGCTGGGACACTCCTGTGTGTTTATGTCAAGGAGGGGTGTTAAACTTCACATGGATTAAAGGCCTGAAGTGCAAACACTGAGGTTCCCCCAAGCAGCAGGAATTCCCTTCCAGGCTGCAACACAAACTCTGCCTGGGCTGCCAGCCTGCTCCCTGTGGAATCTGTCCTCAACACTGCCACATCGGCTCTTGCCTGAACTCCCAGCCTGCCAACCTGCACTACAAACTTTGGGCTTGCCAGACCACACGCTCATGCCAGAGAATTTCTTAAAATTGCATATGTGCTCCCTGTCTCTCTGTCTATCTAACTATTCTATTGATTCTCTTTCTTTGGAGAACCCTAATTCCTAAGAACAATACGAAGAAAAACATTCAAAACATGAAGTCTAAAGTAACAGTAGTAAGTCCAACATCACCCAGCACACTTCAAACCATTTTGTAGCTATAATCACAGGGAGGGATTCATTCTACTTCCTAAAATGAATCTGTAAATACAGAAGCGTGCAAAACAATTTCAGTGAACAATGGGAATCCTAGCACATGAGAAGCACTCAACTTCTTTCTTCCCCCACATCTTTCTTATGCATGAAACACACGTGTCCTGCTAAGTACAGTGAGTCACCACACAGCAGACACCAGCAGGCAACCATCCCTCAGCCAAGAACAGGAGTGACGCCCACGCTCCACCATGGGCTTCCCCCAGCGCCTGCAGTCCCTCTCCCCCGTGGACTCCACGCAGATGAGCCCGTCAGGCTCCTGCTCCAGCCTCATCACAGACCAGGAAGACCCACGCTGTTAGATTCATTTTACAGACCTGGATTCAAGCTGCAGCTAATTGGCTGTGCAAGGCTGACCTCCACTGTGTGGCTGCGGTGAGGATGAAGCTGCTGTCTCATTCACCCGTTTATCAGTGATGATGCCTACCTCTGGCTGCCCTGAGCAGCTTGCTGGGATGGCAGAGCCTGAATCTTGTCCCCAAGGAGCTCACAGTCTCACAAGAAAGTCAGACAAGAAACAGCCGTGACCTCAGGGAATGCAAGGGAGGCAACGATGGGTGGACCTGAGACTGCTGGGGGCCAGGCGGGAGGTCTCCTAGCACACTCTGGGGGTCGAGGTGAGTGCCCTGGACAGATGGCCAGCTGCCGGGTGACCCACCAGGTGCAAGAGTTCTGGCAGAGGTCCAGAAGGTTCTCTCACCTGGCACTTAGCAAGGTCAAGGATTCACCCTCCAGGACACTCTGCAGCCCAGGGATGTGGCCAGGACCCTTGGAGACTCCCAGTCTGTGCTTGGGTGTGAACCGGGAGTGAAATGTGACCCAGAAGTCGCAGAGAAAGTTTCAAGCAGCTGAGGAGGTGCACGTGAGGGCAGGAAGGGCCTGGGGAGTGTGGGAGGCTGGGAGTGAGAGCCAATCTGCCTGCTGACCTGCAGAAGCCTCTGGACTTGCTCTCTGAAAGCAGGATCCAGCGGGAGCTGGAAAGAGGAGGTTCCTGTACGGGGCCAGCCTGCCCTCCCCCTCCCCACTCAATGTGGTGGGGTCCCTGGGGATCTACGCCCTCCAGCGGACAGTAGCATGCTGGAAGGGAGCTTGGGGACAGATGAACAACAGGACCACAGAAAACCAAGGGGGAAAAGGCCACTAGTATAGAACAAACGTGTGCTCATAGTGCACGCCCAGCTGTGCAGGTTGTTCATGGGAAGCCGCTGTGAGCGCTGGACCGTCTCAGCTCAGTCCAATGGAGAGAGGGAGGGAAGGGCCCTGAGTGCTTTTGAGTGGCATGTGAGCAAGTGAACTTCCCACCTTCCAGACAAGACATAGACAGTTGATAGATTCCTTTTAAAAAAGAAAGAACCGAAAAAATGAATTCAAGCAATCGTGGCAGAAGCGTCCTATTTAGAAATATAGAGGCAGGTAGAAGCAGAAAGAGCTGGCGGGGTTGACAGCTGTGTCCTCCGGTGGGGGTGGGATGAGGAATCTCTTCTGGTAGTGGTTTATGCTCTTTGTAGAAGTGGAGGACATTTTAAGTTGTGTGCTGAGTAGCTCTGGTACAAATGAAGACTAGGAGGAGGAGAAGAGGCCGGGCAGGGGAAGGGGAGGAAGAAGGGGGCACTAGGTCTCTCTGAATTTAAACCGTTTAGGCGTCTATGTAGACATTTTTCTTTCTTAAAAAAATGGGGATGCGGGTGGTGGCTACACGGGTGTGCACATTTATCAAAATTCCTCTGATTGCACTCTTAAATTTGTGCTTTTCTCCCTAAGTACATTCACTTCCCATTTTGAAGAAGGAGGGGAGGGAGGCTTTCCATCTTCTACCTGGTTATACGTTCGAATTTCGTGCCTTGGCGATGCATTGCTTGTTTAAAAACTACATACATCATGAGGGAAAATCTTTATCAAAAACTCTGGTCGGGCGCAGTGGCTCAAGCCTGTAATCCCAACACTTGGGGAGGCCGAGGCAGACGGACCACTTGAGCTTAGGAGTTCACGACGAGCCTGGGCAACATACAGCACCCCTTCTCTACAAAAAATAAAAATTAGCCGGGCGTGGTGGCCGCGCCTGAAGTCCCAGCTACTCGGAGACTGAGATGGGAGGATCACTCGAGCCCAGGAAATGGAGGCTGCAGTGAGCCCTGATCGCGACACTGCACTCCAGCCTGGGCGACACAGCGGACCATCTCAATAACAAACCGAAACTCTGGCTATCTCCAGGTAGTCGAACTTGGGATGCCTTTTGTTTTCAGTGCTTGTAATTTTCTGAATTTTTAAAATAACGAACAGAGTCTCCTTGCGACATTAAATGCAATGCAGCCGCCGAGGAAGCGTCGGGGACAGATGGGGTTGGACGCCGTCCCCACTTCCTCCCCTGCAGCCGCCTCCAGGCCGCCAACCTCGCCCAGCCGGAGCCTCAGTCCTGGAGGGTCGGGCGGCGGCGGCCTTCCCCTGGAGTGGCATTCTTGTTGCCCGTGGGGCCCCCTCCCCAGGTAGGAGGCAGGAGGCGGGGTCTGGGGCAGCCTCCGCTTTCTCCTTCCTCCTTCCCCCGCGGCTTCCCTGCTGCGCCGGGCCTCCCAGGTCTCACCCCGAGTTTCCGCACCCGGTGGGGCGCGGGTTCCGGCCCAGCTTCTCTCGGAAGTGACGGCTGACCTAGAGCCCATCCCTGGCCTCGGCCTCCGCACCCCCCCGCCCCCCTGCCTGTGGAACCCGCAGCCCAGAAGCCTGGAGCCTCTCTGCGAGCACGCAGGGGTCTCCCAGCTTCCGGATCGTTCCGCCGTTCGCCCTGGGTCTGAGTCTGGGGGTTCGGGAAACAATTTTGGACGTTTCTGGTTGGATTGTGTCTAAATCGTGCATTTTACGCGACAGGGGACTCGAGGTCCTTGAGGATCCCAAACTGCCGCAGCCCCTCCCTCCTCCTCCCCTTGCCCTTGCCCCTGCCCAGAGAAGTGCGCTCCTCCAGGGTCATCCACACGCGCCGTGCCGAGCCCCGGGCCCCAGTTCCAGGAGCCGCGTCTCTACGGGCCAGTGGGTCCTGAGAGAGTAGGGCTTCGGGCGCTCGGGGAGAGGAGGCGGAGGAGGGGTGAAGCCGAGGGGTGGCTTTTAACGAAAAAGAAGTTGAAGCATCAGCTAAGCCATTAGGGCTAATGCGATGTACTGTAAGACGGGGATCAATGCCGGGCCTCGGGGACCGGCGTGGGGGAGGGGGCAGCAGGCCGACCGCCCCCAAGCCGGTCGAGGCCCCCGTCCATTTGGGGGAAATGGATTTTCGCGATTTAAGAAACAAACCCAAATCAAATGAGCGAGGCCCGGATGTGCTGACGCTGCGGTTACGCGCGCGGAGCTGGAGCCCCGAGAGCGCTCTAGGAAAGGCGCAGCGGCGACCGCGGGAGGGGGTGAGAAGCCGAGGCAGAGAGGTCCGGAGAAGCAGAAAGAGATGCCGACCGGCAGAGAAAGAGCGAGACAGACACACCGAGGGGTGAGGGGGCAAAAGGGAGCAGCCTCGCAATTTTCGCAGAAGAAAACAGGCCGGCGCGGCTGGGGATGCGCTTCTGGGCCAGGCGCGGCAAGACCCCAGGAACTAGCCAGAGCCCCAAGACCCAGGCGCCTATTTGAGCTCCTTTGAGTCCGGCAGGAGGCCTAGGTCCATTCGGGAGAGAGAGGTGCCAGCCCCTACCTTGTGCAGTCCCCTCGCCCGGACGTCATGGGGGGAGTGCCCCCTGAGCGCAGGCCCCCGGGCGGCCGGGGCCTCGCTTCTGGCGGCCGGGAGAGGTCGGCACCGTGACACTCAGGCACACATACACCAATGCCCCGGGCCCGCTAGGGACGCTGAGCTCCAGGCAACGAAAAACGAAGGTCCTGGAGTCGGTCCTGAGTGCATTCCTCCACTGGGCCCCGTCGAGAATGAAACTCTCGGAGCATCGTCACTGGGAGGTCCTGGGGGGACACTGGGGTGGGCGAGCTTCTTCAAAGACTCGGTTTCCACTGGGCCCTCCCATTCCCTCCTCTCTTCGTCACGCGGTGGTGGTGGTGGTGGGGGGTGCAATAGCCCCTCTGGTTCCTGGGGCACCCCTTGTGGTGGGGTGTGCCCTCCTGGCTGGACCCACTCCTTGCTGGGTGCAGGAGCAGAGTGGGGAGGAAGGAGGCCGGTGGATTTGGCTTCTGGGCAGCCCACCTCTGCCTCTCCTGGGGCCACACTGGGCTTATCTGTAAAATGGGCACAGGTGAGATAGAGTTGGCCAAGGTCTCTTCTAGCAGGCTAAGGGTCTGCTGGGGAGGCGGGCTCGCTCCAAGGCTGGCCCCCCCCCACGCCTCTTGACAGTGCCACCCCCAGGATATGAGGAACCTCAGGCAAATATGGGGGATTCTTGTCTATATAAACAGTTTTAGTCATCGCAAACTCATAATGTCAGCACCATCCCGTTAGCACGATTTCTCTAGTCCCGATTGACAGCCCTCCCAGAACCTGGGCCTTACAGGTCTGAGCTGGCTTAGAGCTTCCACCCCAATCCCAGAAAAGGCCCGCGGGACTTAGAAAATTCCAAAAATAAAAGGCACTCCACAGTATGGGGCCCTCTGAGGTGCAGCCTGGGGGCACAAGGGTACTGCCTCTCAGACCCCCATGTGGAGAGCCCGCTGGAAGAGGGAGAGGAGGATTGAGGAAGTGGGGAGGGTGCGAGACCTCCGGAGCTGACACCCTCCCCCACTCACCCAGACCAGGGGTGAGCTGGGCTCAGCATCCTCATCTCCTCGCCCTGTCATTGCCGCCACTAGAGAAATGGGGACAGAGTCTCTGCCTTCTCTACACACGTGCGTGGTCTATGTGACGTGGAGTCGCACTGGGACCCGAATGAGGACATCCCCCCGCCCCTTCGTCATCGTGGGAATACCGTGGAACAAGGCGGGCAAAGGGCTGATCAGCTCCCGTCCCGGCCCGAAGAAAGCTTCCAGGGGAGGCGGAAGGGCCATTCGCCATTCCAGAGCAGGCGCGGGCAGTGGCCCACGGCTCTGGGCCCGGATCTGTGTCCACCTCTGGATACCCAATTCCCGCCACCATGTTGTTGGGAGCAAGGAGGCACAACTGCCCGTGGTGGGAGTGGAGGGCTTAGGTCCCCATTAGAACCGGCAGAGCCCCGACGGGGCCAACGGCGGTGCTGACAGCGCGAACTGCGTCAGGGGCGAAGCCGAGTTCGTGGAGCGCCGTTGCGCACAAGTGCGCGGGTCAGCAGGGCCCTGGTGCCTGGACACCCCCGGGTGCGCGCGGCGTGGCTGCCCTGGTGCCCCAGTGAGAGCATGACTGCGCGCCAAATGGAAGTGGGGGCGCCCCCTGGCCTTTCCTATACCCGGGGCCAAAACCGCTGGGACCGATATACTGCAGGAGTCCGGGCACAGGCTGAGGGGACCGGCCCGTGCGTTGAGCGCCTCGGAGGTGCTCCGGGTCATGGTGGGTGCTGAGCGGGAACACGGAAGGCTGTGTACACAGCAGCAAGCAATGCACCCGCGCTCCCGTCATTACATCGCGCCGCCTTCACCCCCGCTACGATGACCACTCCGCAGATGGGCAAGACGGGCTCAGAGAGATGAAGTGACTTTCCCAAAGCCACACAGCGGGCCAGTGAAGGCACCGCGCACGGTCCAGGAATCTAACCCTTCCTGGGGAGTGGGGAGGGAAGGGCTCGACCCGAAGGGGCCAGGCGGCAGAGAGCCCCGCGTCCCCCGCCACGGGCTAAGACGCAAGGCGGCCCGCCGTGTCTCCACCTGCGCGCCTCGAGCTTCGCTCCGCTCTAGCCTTCGGGTTAACACCGCTTCCTTCCAGAAGCCTAAGGAGGCCCGGGCGGATCAGACGCCTCCCTTCTCCGCAGCCCCATGCCCTGCCCGCAGCTTGAGCTCACCGCCCTTCTCGGGGTGGCGGTGCGGAGACCGGACGGCTCCACTGTGCAGACCCCGAGGGGTAAGGGGCCGGGTAGGGGAGGGGAGCGAGAAGTGGCGAGGTGAGAACTGAGGGGCGAGGCTGAAGGCTGAGCCAGACTTCCAGACGCCAGAGAGACGCCAGGTGAGCCGGGCGGGGGCGGGGGCGAGGGCGGGGGAGGGGGCGGGGCCGGAACCGCGGGGAGGGGGCGGGGCGCCCGGGAGGGCCGCGAGCTGGGAAGGTCCCGGGCGGCCGGAGACGGTGAAGAGGCGGGGCCGAGTCGCGTCCGCGGGGTCCCGGACACAGCGGAGCTGGCGCCACTGTCGGGGTTCCGTTCCATCTAGGTCGGGCAGCCCCGCGGGTCCGGGCGCCGCTGCCCTCCTCTACCTGCTGGGAAGCGCAGGCCGAGCAGGGATGAACCTGGCTCCAGGGCCCCAGCGGGGCAGGCAGGGCCCGGACCAGAAGCTGCGGCACCGACTTCCCACTGCCCGACCGGGCGACGCGGGGCCTGGGAGGGGCGGGTCGGGATCAGAGCGCCGCTGCGCCCCGGAGGCCGCGCTTCCCGCGGCCTGTGCCGAGGAGCCTCTCCGCAAAGAAATAAACACGCCCTGTCTCCCCGACCCCGACTCGGGCCGGTCAGAAGTAGGGAGAATCACGCTCGGGAAAGGGGGGTAGGGAACGACGGGGGAGCCTCGGTGACCAGGGCAGATGCACGCGCGCGCGGGATCCTCGTGCGCCGCGAAGAGGGACGAGCAGAGGAGCATCGGAAGAAGACAGGCGAAGGGGACCGCGGAGCAGCGTAGGCGGAGCCCCGGGGGCACGGCCGAGGCTGCGCTTCAGGAGTGTCCGCCAGGCGCCTTCCCGGGCGGTTGGCGAAACCCGAGGAGGCCCACAGCTCTGGCCTGGGGCGCCGTCGTTCCAGGGGCCTCTGCGCCTCTCTCTGGCGTCTGTCTGGACCCTCAGAGCCCCGGGATCAAGGCGCCCATCCTCTTGATGGCGGGGCGCACCTTTCGCGTGGGTCGGGCGCTGCAGACCAAGCACGCCGAGTGCGTCAAGGAAGTGCCCGGAAACCAAAGACAACGCACCCGGGACCAAGAGGAGGCCGCTGCGCGCAACCTCCCAAACACTGCAGCGAAGTCGGAACCACGTCCGCGTGGGTGACTCGGGCTGGGGAGCCGGGAGGCGGCGCCAAGGACCCTTCAGCCCTTGTCCGTCCTCCCTGATATGTCCTCGACGCGGTCTGAGGCCTCCCCAGCGGAGGCGACGCCCCGGCGCCAGGTGCCCTGGGTGGGGGAACCCGGAGGGGGCACCACGACCAGTGGAGAAGGGGCGGAGGCCGGGAAAGCTGCGTGGAAAAGAGGAAGGGTTAAGACTGAAATCATTCTACAGAGACCACGTTAATGGGTTTAAATGCGAACATTCTAGCTAAGTAGAAAAAAATTTAAAAGCAGAGTGCAAGCTGGACCAAAGTGAGACCCCGATTGGGCGTAGATAAACCTGCAACCAAAACAGCCCCAGGCAGAGATTCAGCCGCTGGGGAGCACAAACCCCTAATGTTTCTTGGTAGTCACTTTTTGAAACATTTTATTATGGAAGTTTTCAAATATAAAACAAAATCGAGGGAGGCTTCAAGTGAATTCCCGTGTACCCACCCCTATCCCACAGTTCTTAAACCGTGACCAATCTAGTTCCCTCTATTGGCCTCCTTTTATTTGTACTAACTTATTTTTGTTGCCTTATTATAAAGCAAACACAGACACATTTTCACTGAATACATAAATGCATTTTCACTGATAATAACTTTTTTTAAAATAACAATACGGCTTAAGTTACAATTCCCAGTAAATCCACACTCAAAGGCAGTTGGCTTTTGATGTTGGAAGTGCAGACGTATTTCCATTTGAACTTCACTGCAATGTCCAGATAATAAAAAGCACTATTACTTTTGTAATAAAAAATAAACAAAAACTCAGCCCCACAGCTCCAGAACGTGGCGAGGGCCGTTTGCTCCCCAGGCGGTGAGGCTGGCTCTTCGACCACTTAGCTGTTCTCGGCGCCCGATCCTGTGTGTCCTTCCGTGCATGACACGCAGAGCTTAGCTCTGTGAGGACAGGGCTGTCCCCTCTCCGGCCCACCTATGAAGGGGTGTCCACCTCTCCGTTTCCCTCCAGGGCAGTCATTCATTGGGTGATCCGCCTTGGGGACCTGGGGATCGGCGAGTCCAGGAGGCCCAGCGAACGAATTTCCGGTGGCTGGGACCCACTTCCCAGCGGGACCCTGGATAGGCATGCCCACTCTGGCTACCAGAAGGGCAGGGTGGCCGAAGGGTATGAAGCATATGAGTGCACAGGCGGGGAGGAACAGCAGCAGCACCAGCGCAGGAGTAGCCCGCTGGCCTCCCTCAGGCGGGTGGAGGAGGGCGCCGGGGAGCCTCAGTGCCACCGTGCTCCAGAATTCCTGCCCCTCTCAGAACCCCGGTTTCCCTTTCCAACAAGTTGCAAGGTGGGGCGGAAGGCCACGAAAGACTCTTGGGGGAGAGGCACTGACAGAAAGGGAAAGAGAAGCCCACCCGGCCTCTCCCGCCTCCCTGGTGCTGCTCACCCAGCCAGAGTCCAGAGCCTTCCGTCTCCGCCCAGCTGGGTTGCCTTCGGAGTGGGCTCAGAGCCAAGGATCTGGGAAACCTCCCTGCATGCGGATGGGTGAGGGCACTGGGCACCCCTCCCCTGCACCTGATGAGGATCTTCTCAGGGTGCTCCCGCCTGAATGGGAGTCGGCGGGCAGAGGAGCCCCATGGGGGTTCGGGAGTGCAAAGGCCAAGCTGGGTGGAGCGCGCGGGGGAATCCACACCTCCAAGGGCACTGCCTGGGTACCTGCCTGTCTCTCATTTTGGCTTTGGAGGAAGCAGGGAGGACAGAGCCCTGGTTGCTGCCTGCTCTCTCGGCCAAGGGCCTGGAGTGGCCAAGGGCGGTGGGACCACCTAGGGGAAATGGGGCAGGCCCAGGTCGGCCTCCAGGATTCCAGTAGCTCCGATCCCTGTGGAATTTGACCTAGGCTGGGAATCTCTGCTCTATAGTCATTTCCCGAGGACAGGACCGTTAAGCCCAGACAGCACATCCTCCACGCCCAAACACCACCGTAGTGGCCTTTCCTGGTGCTCTGGGTATGGACTCTGCCTTTGGAGGTCCCAGATGCCCAACACTGGGGCAGGGTGGGGAGCTGATTTCCCACCTCTCAGGCCAGCTCCAGTGGGGATTCAGCTTTTATAGTCCCAGAGCACTGAGAGGCCCAGAGGAGGTGGGTCACCCACCAGTCCCACCACAGCATGGGCCCTGGGAGCTGGGGAGGGATGTCCTGTTGGCCTCACTCAAATCACAGGAGGCCCAGCATTTACAAATTACAGACCCTAGTTCTCACCATAGGTGTGCGGTGGGGAAACGGAGGCCTGGAGGAGAGAAGGGGTGTGATTACGGTCATGGGGAAGTCGGACTGGGTCCAGTATAGGCGTGTGTCCAGGATGTCCAGAGCCCGCTGCACCCACTGGTGCTCGGAGCTGTGCAACTGGAAGCCCTGAGCAGCTCAGGGTGGCTGGAATCCGGACTCAGGTGCGGAGAGGGTGAGGAGGTGGGTGGAACCCGCGAGGGGGGAGGGTGCATGGCGCATGTGGTGGAGGCAGATCGAAGCCATTCATCTTCTGCCAGTGGTGGAGCCAACGCGCTCGAGGTGCACCCGCGATCGATGGCGCCGGAGCTCAGGACTCAGAGGGGCCAGGCGTACCCCCTGCTTGCCCCCAGCCTGGTCCCGCTTGCTCTCCAGGGCTCTCTGGGTTCCAGGTCCTACACTGCTTTTCTCTGGTTTGTTCTGCCTTTGGTGCCAGCCCCAAGACGCCAGAGCCCCACGGATAACAGGGCAGGGCCAGCTTCCCTGCGCCCAGTTGGCCTAATCCAGCTTGGGATCTGTTTTCTCTCTTAACAGTGTTCCAGGCCCCAGCCCTTCCCTGAGCTCTGGAACGGTCCCCTCCTCCCACGCCGGCTCCCTCCTTCCCACCAGGGCAAGCCCTGAGTCGAGGCCCATAAGACGCTCTCCAGCCCGATTTTTAATTAATTCTATCGAAAGACACATCCACTCTCTCCAAATCTACCCTGCATTTGAACTGTGTAGACCCTGCACCCTCTGATGCTGGCTGCCAAGACTAGGCTTGGTGACCGGTTCCATGGTTCCCTAGTAGCCAGAGTGGACGATCTAAAACTGGCACCCATAGGGCTCTCACCCTTCCAGCTTCCTGGTGGCCCGGAGTCAGGTGACTCCTGGAGTGGTTAAGGCCACCTGTGAAGGGCTCCAGTGCTGACTGAACCGCCTGTAAGGGGATTCGCCTGAGGACCTGGGCGCCACCACTGCGCTAAGAGGCACCCTGCAGTCACCACACAACCTTGGGACTGCACCCACATCGGCCAGAAGCAGTCGAATAAAACAGTTGCATCACAGCGATAACCCCTTTGGCCTGAGCTTCAATGACCCCCTTCTAATAGGGCCGAGGAGGCAGGCGTCCTCGTGGTGCGAGTGCCCGAGGCCTCGCCAGTCTGAGTAGCATCGCCGTTGGGAAGGCCGAGGCAGTGCCACCGGCACACAGTGCCTGGACCTCAAAAGGAGAGGCTACTGCTGCTGCTTCTGCTTGCTGGGCCTGTGTGGGACTCGGAGGCTCCGCGGTGTCGCCGGCTGTGCCCTGGCCCCTTTCCTGGACTCGCAGCGATGTGTCCCGGTGACTGGGTGAGGCCAGCACAAAAGCGACAGAAGCCCAGAGGGCGAGGGTCCCAGGAGCCTGAGTCAGGGGTGCGAGGTCTAGAGGGCCCAGTGGGGAGAGGGGTCAGAAGGGGCGGGGGGTGAGGGTTGGGACTTTGCCTGAGTGGCCACGAAGAGCCTCCTGGGACACCCCTTGCCCCTCATGGCCGCCAACAGGGAGCTTTCATTAGTTTTATTGAGGCCTAACCTGAGTCCCTCCCAGATGAAACCGAGTGAGAACGGACTTCCTGGTTTAGCCAGGAAAGCAGTTGGGGCGCAGCCCCAAAGCAGCGAGGGAGCCCGGACACAAGCCTGGGAAGGGCTGGAGGGGGCCCAGGCAGCAACAAGCCTGCAGGGTGGGGACTGGGTTGGGGGAGGCCTGCTGCAAGGCCAAGGATGGCTGCCCTCTCTAAGAATCTCTCAAAATGCCCACGCTGTCATGACACAGGGCCTGGAACCCAGAGGTGTGGACCTGCGGGCCCAGAGGCTGAAGGAGGCCCCCTGGGCTTGCTGGAACCCTGGCCTCACAGTAAGGAACCAACTGATGGGCCGGGGCGGGGGCTGGGGCTTGGAGGACATGATTCTGGGTCAGGAGCTGGATGGTAGAGACACACAGATGCACTGACCCCCAGGCCCACTGCACGCTCTCCTTGGCCGTCTGGCGCTACCTTGATTGCCCCAAGACCAGCGTATGGCCCGGCTGCTGCCCATCTCACCCGGGGAGCGTCTACACCCAAGTGAAGCAGGACAGGGAGATGGGTTTTCTTAGGGGCTCAATTCTGCCATGGAAGTGAACTTTTCAAACCCGAACAACATATTTCTCCTAGGCTGAAACACACACCAAATACTGTCCCTCCCCCACCCAAAAGCAGCCAGCTTGGGGCTGATGGAGGTGGGGTGGCCCCAGTGGCCCAGAATAGGGGAACGAGCTCTCCTTCAGATCCCATCATCACCGGCCGTGAACAGCTTTGTCCACCACCTGAGTCCTCCAGCTGACCAGAGACCAGAGACTGCAGGCCGGGAGGAAGACCCAAGGCAAGAGCACGGTGGCCTGACCTTGAGTGCCACGGCTTTGTTTTGGCCCAAAGAAAAATTCCATACCAGATAGGAAATGGCTGTGCACACGGGGCGCCACACAGCCGAGCCCCTGTGACGAATGCCAGCGGCCATCAGTGGGCCTCTGCCTTCACCTGCTCCTGCCTTTCGGTTTCAGTCAAGGCTCTAGAACTTGGGACACACCATCATCACTTCCTCCTCCCTACTCCCGGCTCCTGGCCCTTCCCTGTGGTGTGTCATAGAAGAGGGGCACAGCGCTCATCACCTCCGACTAGGGTCTGCCCTGCCCACCTGCACCTGGCCCAGCCCTGGGCTCCAGGTGTCCCCAGTCAGCACTGAAAGGTGCTCCCAGGAGGGACGGCACCCAGCGCAGCTTGAGCTGTCTCTGCCCTCGTGATCACAAAGCAGTGAAACTGTCCAGAAAATGTCCCTTTTTATTCCATACGCAAATAAGTAGATTCATTTAAAAAAACAACAACCCGGAGGCTGCGACGTCTGCAGAGAGCCCCAGCCTGCCTGCTCCTGGAACGGACGATGGGACCCACAGGTCCAGGGTCCTTTCTCCACCAGCACCCGCGAGAGGGGTAGCACAGCCCTCCGGGCCGGCCTGCTGTCTGGGTCCCAGGAAAGGGACGTTTAGTGTTGGGGGCAGTCTGTGGGGACAGTCACCGCTCAGCCTTGGACAGCCGGTTCGTAGTTTTCCTTTGTTGCGCTGGGCTTGGCCTGAGGGCAGCTGCCCCGGGTGGCCATGGCCGACCGCTCCTCGCTGAGGCCGGGGGGTGGCCGTGGCGCCGGGGGCTGCGCAGCCCAGAGTCTCTGCATGGCCCCCTGTTCGAGTGGGGATCCAGCCTGGCAAATGGGTGGGGCGTCCCATTACATTCTAGAGGCGCTCCCCACAGAAGCTGAGGCCCGCCCGGCCGCGGCCTGCGCTCCCGAGGTATCTAGGAGGCCGCAGGAGCGACCATCCCTTCCCTAACGCCCCCTGAGCCCTGCGCCTGCCGCTGAATCGCGCGTCCACACAGGTCCACAGGGTCGTGGGGAGAGGGCCCGGCAGGCGGGGCTCACACCAGGCCAGGCATCTGCGCCCGCAGAAAGGGCACGGAGGCGGCGGCCGGGAAGGCGGCCAGCGGGTAGGCGAGGGCCCCGGAGAAGCCGAGCAGCGGTGGGGGCGGCGCGGGCGCGGCGGGCGCCAGCGGGAAGGGCAGGGTGGCCGGGGGCCCAGCGGCGGCTGCGGCCGGGGGGCTTTCGTGGTAGAGCACCGGCACGCGGACCAGGCGCTGCGCTCCCGGCGGGGACAGGCTGGCCGCCTCCAGCTCGGCTGCCAGCTGCCGCTTCCACTTGTTGCGGCGGTTCTGGAACCAGATCTTAACCTGCGTCTCGGTGAGCTGCAGGGAGGCGGCCAGGCCGGCGCGCTCGGCGCTGCTCAGGTAGCGCTTCAGGTCGAAGGTGGATTCCAGCTGGAAGACCTGGCTGCGGGAGAAGACTGTGCGCGTCTTCTTCTTTCGGCCGCCGCCCACGCCAACGCCGCCGCGTGTCTCCCCAGCCGCCGCAGGGACCTCGGCCAGCTCCGACGCCTCCTCCGTGCCGGCCGCCGGGCCACGCGCCGCCAGCTCCGCTGCCTCCCGCTGCACCGCTCCCGGCCCGGGGCCTCGCGGCCAGGCGCCCTCCGCACGGCCCATCTCCTCGCCCGTCTCCGGTGAGTCCCGGTCGCTGGCTGCAGGGGAGAGAGGGCACCACCGTTGGTTCTAGGGCACTGATTACCAGACTCAATCACTGAGGCCAGCCGTCCCCACCTTGAGGTCGCTCACAGCCACAAGCAGGAAGACCTTCCAGCACAGGGCTGGGCACCCAGCAGCTCTGGGGATGCACACATTGTCAGAACCGTGGGAGGCGGCCCAGAGACCAGGCAGCAGCTCCAAACCAACACCCCGCAACACACCAACACCCCGCAACACACAAACACAAACGCACACCCATGCCAGAGGACAACAAAGGGATGCAGAGCAAAGAAAAGAAACAAAAATACTACACAAGAAAAGCAGGCTGACCCCAGTGAGCACTCCCCACTCCCAGCTGCACCACGGGCGGCCCGGAAAAACACACAAACCTCCCGCAGAAGTCCCGGGACAAGAGGAAAGATGTCCTTCCGAGAAATGTTCACACCGAAAAACAAGCACAGGACACCCCCTGCCACCTGGCATCCAGCCCCACGCCAAGCTCCCCAGAAGGAGGAATGAAGAGTTCACAGGCCTCTTCCCGCGCCCTCTGCCCGCTTGCACAGAAACATTCCATAGTAGGAGGACAAACCAATGCAAAGGATCCCCAAAAGAGAACTCCCATCAGGTGAGGCTGTCACCCCCACACCACATACTCCTGTAGCCCTGACCCAGTGTCCACAAGGCAAGTCCACACCAGCCACAATCATGCTCAAAGGGAACACGGGCACATGCCACTCTAAGCAACATGCAGCAGCTGAGTCCTGCCCCAAACACTTTCAAGACTGGAGGTTCAGCCTCATGGGTTTGGGCTGAAACCAGAAGCTCACAGGCGGTGTCTGAGTTCATGTTCCAAGTACCAAGCTCCCCTACTCATCTCCTAGGAACAAGAAGAGGCCCACAGGCTGGCAAGGGATGATGTCAGGTTAAAGAGGCCAGCCGGGACCCAGAAGCACTTGCCCAGATTGAAGAGGGCAGCAGCCTCCCACTGCAGGGCTCTGGAGGCTGACTCGGACCCGCTGCTTTTCTGCCTTGGTCTGGAGCCTCCCGTGCAAAGGGCAGGCCCAGGTTGACAGGTTAGAGGTGGAGGCAGAGTTTGGCCTGGCCCTGGGCCCCTGGAAGGCTGTGCACTCGGCCGGGTGTGTGCCTGCAGTGTATTTGCAGCATTTGCACGCTCATGCAAGGGGTGCGCACACTGGTGGGCTTCTGTGCGTGGTTCCAGCTCTGTGCCTCATGCCCAAGGAGTGTGCACATCCCACTCACGCCCGTGGCCAATCCCCATGGTGTGTGCCCTCACAGCACCCACAGGGGAGTCAGGCAGCAGGTTGTGGTGCATGCTACTAGATCTGGGGAGTCCCTGCCTCCCCCCAATACCCCAAACTCACAGAGGCCCATGTGCTGCCACAAGGCACTAGGCTGACTTGCCAGCTCCAGTGAGGAAGTGGGACCCTAACCCGCATGGCACGAAATAAGGGGGAGCCGCCTCTGCAGGGGTGCCACCTGGGCTGCAGGAGGGGATGCACCCCAGGGATGAGTGGAGAACAAATTTCACCCTGAGAAACCCTTTCCATAGTCTCCCCCAGAAGGGCACTAGACAGAGTCGCTCGATTTCTGGGAAACCACGGAAGCCCTGCTCAAGTCTACGTGAAGGGGGTGGGGGCCTAGACTTCCTGAGTGTGGGTGCCGAGATGTGGGGGCTTTTGCAAAGGATCACTCCACGACATGGAAAGGGTTATCTAACAAGTGAGTGAGGGTCGTAGGCCACTTACTCCCCAGCACACACTAATATTCATACAGAGGACAGCATGGATCCCAGAGCCGGAGCCTGCAGAGGGCCCACGTCCTCAGCTGGCCTCAAGGTCCAAAGGCTGTGTTGGGGGTGGGGGGCTGGCTAAGCCAGGGCTTGGGGGGTTGGACTGGCTTTCCTGGCCTTCCTCCCAGGGGTCTTCCTAAAGGGCAGGTACAAAAGGGAGGCAGCGACCCTGGAACCCTGGGGAGGGGAAGCAGAACTAAGGGGTCAGATACCCAAGCAAGGGGGCAAAGGGGTTCTGGGGTTGAGAACCCCCAGCCCCAGTCTCAAGCCCTCAGCAGGGAACAAAGGCAAGGAGGGGGAGGGGCAGAAAAAGAAGAGAGAGGGGTTGGACTGGGGGCCTCAGAACAGGCTCCCTTCTTGCCTGGCACAGCCCATGCCCCTCAAGGACCAAGAGGGAGACCCAGGCCCCTGCCCCAGGCTGTCTGCAGCGGGCACAGAGGAAACAGGACTCTGGGGGGGCACAGCTGCCATGTTAGATGGCTCCCCTCCCCGGCCCCACCCCCACAACACTGCACCCTCTGCTCAATGCCCCCTTTTATTTTTCCACGTCTGATGCTACTTTGTCTCCCTTTCCCTCCATCTCTTCCTCCTCTTTTCTCTCTCGGATCACTCTTGGGTTTCTTTTTCCTGCATCTTCCCCTCCCCCCACCCCATTCTCTCTCCCGCAGCACATTCCTTTCTTCCTCCATCCTCCCATTTTCTTTCTCAGCCTCTTTCGCCTTCTCCTGTATCTTTCCCTATCCTCTTTCACTCTCCTTTCTTTTTTCTTTGGCCTCCTGTTGTCCCCTGTCCCCAGCCTCCCTGGGACCGGAGGAGCCCGGCAATGGGTGAAGCTATGGCCTGCAAAACCTCCTCGTTAGCGGAGCTCCTGCCCCAGAGGGTGGGCCTCCAAACCAGCCCAACCAGGGGCTCCTGGGGGCCCCACAAGGCCCAGACGCCGTTCCACAGAAGGGAGAGGATGGCCCAGAACGGGCGGCGACGAGCCCGAAGTCCCCCAGCAAATGCGCAGGGAGGAAGTCGGGCCCCACCGCCTGACCCACCCTCCCCGCGCCCTCACTCACTGTCAGGACTGAGGCCGCCTCCATAGCCACCGTGCGCCCGTGGGTACCAGCGCGCTGCGCCTCCGCAGCCCAGAGCGAAGGGCGGCCCGGGACCGGGGGGCGGCCGAGGACCGAGGCCCAGCGCGCCCGGCCCGAGCAGCGCACGGGCCCGCGCCTCCCCGCCGGGCCCGGTGCCCGCGAGCAACTGTCGCCGCCGCTGTAGCCGTCGCCGCCGCGCCTGCTCGGCGTCCTCGTCTTCGGGGTCGTCGTCGTCCTCCTCCTCGTCCTCCCGGCTGCCGTCGCCCTGGGTCGCGCGCCCTGCGCCCTTGGCCTCGGCCGCCAGCAGGTTCTCGATGAGGAAGGAGGAGGCGCGGGCCGGCGTGGCGCGCCCGGGCTCCGTCAGCTCGTCAGGCATCGCGGCCGCGGGCTTCTCGGGCTCGGCCGGGCTCCTCGGTCCCCGCTGGGGATGGTGGCGCGCGGCTCCCGGGCGCACGCGCGGGCCGGCCCTGGAGCTGCTACCCGGACCGCTGGCGTCGGGCCCCGCAGGGCAGGCGGCGGCCTCCGCGCCGGGCTGGGCTGGGCCGGGCCGGGAGCGAGTGCGCGCCGACAGCTGATCGGGCAGCCGCCTGGCTCGCCTTTCAGGTCGCCGTTCTGGTCGCCGCCGGGGCGGCCTCACTGGGGGCGGGGAGGGGGAGGGGCCAGCAGGGGCGGGGGGTCGCGGGCTGGGCCGGGAGGGCGGCCCGCTGAGCCCCGAGGACGCTGCGCCGGCCCCGAGCGCGGCCGCTGCCGGGAGACGCTGCCCAGACCTGAGCGCGCGGGCAGCGGCGCAGCCGAGGGCGGGCGGCCCCGGGCGCAGGCGGGGGGTCGCGCCGGGTCCGATCCCGCGTGATCAGTTCCCCCGTCCCGCGCCACCCGCTCCGTGGGGGCGGGGCCTGGGCTGAGCGGCCACCCATTGGCTGTGGGGCCCCGATGAGGAACGGGCTGGCCAATCACCGTCCGGCCAGAGCCGTAATTACCCCGCTGCGAGGAGGGTGTTGGACCGACCGTGAGTAACTGTGTGTGTGCGCGCGCGTGGTGTGTGCACGAGTGTGCGTTTGAATGGCTGTGTGTGTGTGGAGGGCGGCGTGGAGACCCCGGGGCTCCCAAGAAACTGCAAGAGGCTGGGCCACATTTTTTTATTTAAGACTTTGTGTGTAATTTAAAAATGGGAACACTGCCAAAACAGGACTGCGAAATGTGGCATATCTTAATATTTGCACTTAAGGAAAGATGCTTTCAATGCCAACTGTAGTTCGGTAGAACTCTTCAGTTCCCGGGCTCGGTACCAGTATGTAAGGAAGTGCAACCACAGGGCTCCGCTGGCAGCCCGCTCGATGTTACCAAGCAGGTCTTCACCGCGCCAGCACCCCCACCGCCCGCTCCAGGGGAAGCCAGGGCCTTAGAAGGGGGTGGGAGCTTTTGGCCCAGCCTCTGCCCTGGGCGAAGGTCTTGGGGGCAGGCCCCTTCCCTCGTTGTGCCTCCGTTTCTTCGCTCTAAAGGGGTGGGGAGGTCCTCCCATATCTGCAGCGGGAAGTTCGGGAACATAACGCACCCTGGAGCTGTCTCCGTTCCGGCGTCGACTTCAGACTTACCTACATTAGGTCACTGCGCGGACGCGCGGGTTAAGCCGGCTTCACCCGATGCGAGTTATTTCGCAGAGATACATCCATCCTCCCAGGGCCAGCCCCGGGCCCCTCTCCACCCGAGTACCGCCCGCGTTCCCGGAGGTGACCGCAGGCCTGGGGCTTCCGCTTTGTTTAATTCTTCCAAAAAAGCACGGTGGAGGGAGCATCGCCCCCATTTTTCAGCGGAGAAAACTGACGGGAGAAGAGAGAAGAGACTCCCCCAGAGGGTAGGTGGCTCCGGCAAGCCTGGAATTCCTTCACTGATGCCCCGGAGTCCGGCTGGTTGGCAGGGCGGTGGGGCTCCAGGAGCGGCTGAGGCCTAGCCAGCTGGGCCCTCGCGGCCTGGGTTCGCAGAGACAAAATGGTGCGCCTCTTGGGAGCGTGTCCTGGGTGCGCTTTCTGGCGGCTGCCAGGAAGGACCTCTAGTGCTCAGTGGCTGCCGCGATCTCGAGTGGGAGGACTTTTCCAGGGACTCTAGGACAAGATGCTCAGCCCATCTCCTTTTCCCCGGCATCCTAGCCCAAGAGGGGCAAAAATAATCAATGACAGGGACTCCCCGGGTTGTTTAGCCTGGAGGCAGCCCACAGATGGGGGCTCCTCCCTCCATGTTGTTGATGAGGCCACTAAGCCAAAGTGGAGAGAGTTGGGATCTTAGGGAGGAGCTGAGGTCTCCCAAGCCCTGCTCCCTGGGATGTCCAGGGTCAGAGAGACTCCAAGGAGCAGAGGTACCCCAGCCAGAGGGGGCTGGGCCAAGGAAATTGGGACAGAGCGCCCGATTCGATTAGTTTGGAGCGCTAGCCTTGGGGCAGACACCGTCTACACTAGGGCGCTTTTGACAGATAAGGAAACTGAGGCCAGAGAGGGGCCAGATAAAAAGACAATGTCTGTGGGGAGAAGTGTTTTTCTGATAGCCGTCCAGTTCACACAGGCTCCCCTGGGTCTGTCTGTGAGAGGCGCCTGGACACTCCTGCCCCGTCCAGCCACGCGCCTGCCCAGGTTGGTGGCATTTCCATTTCTCCCTCAGGCCTGGCGGGCTTCCTCTGAGTCTGAGTTCTAATTCCCTCCGCTCTAGGGTTGTGTGGCCCTGGAGGAGGCGTCTTGTGTCTCTGATCCTATAACTGCGGACGATACGCGTCCCTGACGGTGCCAGGTTGTTGGGAGTAGAGGCTGGCCACCACCAGGCGGGTGGTGGCCCTGAGCGCATAACGCTCGCGGGTGTCTTCCCACTGCCTCTGGGGGGCGCGCATGAGAGGGGCGCTTCCACACACTGCCGCGTGGGGCCTGGGATGGGAGCGAAGAGGGGCGGTGGATCCGAAGCGAGGACCGTGCACCCTTTTCCTCTGGGCGCCCGCTGTCTGGGGGTTGCGGAGAGAGCGGGCGCCAGCTGGGCAGAGGCTGGCGCGTCCACACTCTGAGTCTCCCACGCCGGGTCCCAGAGACTTTCCAGCGACAACTGCAGCGGCGAAGCCTGGTCGGCGAGGCGTAGGTGTGGGCAATTGGGCAGATTGTTGACGCTAAAGCGCAGGGTCAGACCAGGACGCGCGAACTGACCGGACTGGTGCTCGCCCAGGCCACTGCCTCTGTGCTCGGTGCTGGTGGCGGAGCCGGCCAGGATCGAAGTCCTGCGTCCAGGTGAGTGGCGACGCCCAGTTTGGAGACAGAATTGCCGGCGGAGGCGCAAGCGGGAATCGCTACCTTCGCGGCGTGGCGCATTTCGATGCGCCCCAGGTCAGAGAGGCTCGCAGTTCACGGCCCAAGAACAGTCTCGGGCAGGGCAGGGGGAGGTCGGGATGCGTGCTCCTCGCGCTCGGAGGCTGACCCCGCAAAGCCGTCACCTTCAGTCGGGGTTTCTTGCCCTCCCAGGAGCACGGTTCAAGATTTCTGATCACTGTTGGACACGTCCGAATTCTGGGACTGAAGGACTCCCCCATCCAAAAAAAGCAAAACGTCTCAAAGTGAATGAGTTGTCACCTTCCTGTCTCCCCATCCCTGTGAGGGCACACACACACACACACACACATCCCCAACCCACAGCCATCCTTCCATGCAGGCAGGGCGCCACCAAGCCCACCACCTCCCTGTCCACTTTAGTCCCTAGGCCTCCCTCCCCTCCTGCGCCTGCCGTGCATCCTCTCCCTTGTATCCTGACCCACCTTGGAACTTCCAGCAAACGCCCTCCAGGGAACCCAGTGCCCTTCTCAACTGGACAGGGAGGTGCCTGACAGGGCCTAAGCCCTCCTCACCGGTGTCCCCAGTGCCTCGCTGGATGCTAGCAGCCAGATGAGTGAGTGGGAAGAATCCACAGAGCATAGATCTGGGGAGGCAAACCACAGCCGCTGGCGTATGTTTGGTTTCCTTTTAATCAACTTTTTTCTTTTGGAAGTTTTAGAGAATGTCCATTTTAAGTTTTCTATTTTCTTGCTTGTTTCATCCCTCATCCCAGTCTTACCCGTCCTGACGTCACCTGTGCGGCCCCACGTACCTGCTCTTGTGTCTTAATTTATAGAAACAGTATGACATTTCACACCTCCACTACTTGTCATTTTGAAAGTATATGTTTGAAGTCAATGACATGCTGGCCAATGCAGCAGTGCTCATTTCCTCTTTATGCTCTCTGCACAGCTCAGCACTCACATGTGCCACGGTTCCGTTTCTATCACGTGTTTCCCCAAACCTTCGTAGTGTGGAACAGCCGTGGATCTGATGCTCACTCCAAGTCAGGGATGGCTTCTCTCCAATTCCTGAAATCTGGGTCTCCTCTGGAAGACTCAAAGCCGGGGGCCGGGGTGGTGGACTCTTCTCAAAGCCCATTTGATCTTTTATCCAAAAGCTGATGCTGGCTGTGCACTCAGGGACCCTTGCTTGGGGCCTCCCTATGTGACCTGGGCCTCCTCACAGCACGGGTTCCCAGGACAAGTGGAGGAGGCCGGAGACCGAGGGAGAGAGAAAGAGAGAGAGTGAGAAGAAAGAGAACCCTCTGCTATACTTATTGATTGGAGCAGTCACAGCTCTCATCAAGGTTCAAGGGAAGGGACATGGACCCAGCTCTCAGTAGGAAGAATGTGGAAGTCACATTGTCAGACTGAACAATGAGAAATACCGTTGCGGTCATTCATTCAGCCCAGGTGCCACAGGGCAGCTTATTCCCCTGGTGGGAGATCTATCTGTAGGCTGCTTCCTATCTGTAGGCTGACTCTCCGCTTTTGCAAATAACATTGGAATGAACAGACCAGTCCATCTTCCTGTAAGAGCCTGAGTTTTTCTGGGGATGAATGCCCGAGAATGGGAATCCTGGGGCGATGGATCTATACAGACTCACCTTCGTGAAGCACTTCAGAATCATCCTCCACAAGAGCTGTATCTATTTCTGTTTCCTCACATCTTCGCCAGCACTTGGTCTCATCTGACTTTTATACATGTGACGCTGTGACAGGTATGAAGGGAAACCTGGCATTTAGGGTGATAGGTCTCTGCTTGCTGAGAGGGTGCAGAGCTGAGCATGTTAGGAAGCTAGAGGGTTGGGTTTATATGAGACAGCTGCTGGGAAGGAGGGAAAAATGATGAATTGGGGTCTGGTTATGAAGACCCCTGCATGCCGAGCTGAAGAATACGGTTCGGTTCTTAATTTGCAAAGCAATGGGGAGCCACTGAAGGTTGTTGAGCTGGGGAGGCAGGGTTAAAGCTGGACCCTAGGAAGAGTCATCTGAACACCACCCATATGCAGGGTGGACAGGAGATGAGGAGGTGCAAGTGGAGGTTCTCAGCATGGCCCAGGGATGAGCAATAATGCCCCCTGAAGGCAGGGGCAAGCCGAGGCCCATCTCCACTGTCTGTGGGGCCAGACACAGTGTCGGTGGGTGTGGAGGGAGGGGGCCCCAGGCAACTGTTGGCTGTTGAACCTGGCTGTGTCTTATTTTCTCCCTTTAGCCCCTCACGCTCAGGCCTGGGGAGCAGTACAGTCTCGAGACATTCTCGTTGTCTTAGTCTGATCCCCACGTCGCAGCCAGCAGGAAATGTCCTTGCAGCTGTGGAGATGTGGATCGGAACTAGGGCACCTCACTCCAGCTCAGCCGCTGGCCCACTAAGGTGTGAGCAAGTCACTGCCCTTGAGGGACCTTGATGTACCCCGCTGTTGAGGGGAACAGCAGGAACGCCCACCCCTGGGCTGGGATATGGGGAGTGCAGATCACCGCATACACAAGCCTTCCGCATACACTGAAAGACACCAAATGCTTTGAAAAAGATCA
Source organism: Homo sapiens (assembly GCF_000001405.40). Taxonomy (NCBI): domain Eukaryota; kingdom Metazoa; phylum Chordata; class Mammalia; order Primates; family Hominidae; genus Homo; species Homo sapiens. The sequence continues at coordinate 129,894 of NW_021159993.1, forward strand.
AAATGTTCAAAACCTACTGTGGCTGCCTTCTGGGGGTCTAGCCATTCCTTCCTTGTGAAAGTCTCTCTTTAGAAACTGGAAAGAGAAGAATTTTCATAAACTACCACGCCCAAAGGCTGGTGGACCAGAGGGGAGAGAGGAGAGGAGTGGGGAGAGGAGAGGAGAGGGGAGAGGAGAGGGAGAAGAAAGGGGGAGAAGGAAGTGAAAAGAGAGGGAAGGACTGGGCCTGAGGAGGAGGAGATGGGAGGAGGAAGGAAGAGGGGGTGGAAGGGAAGAAGGAGTGGGAGGAGAAATGGAGGGGGAAGGAGAGAGGAGGAAGAAGAAGGAGAAAAGAGGAGGTAGGAAGAAGGGGAGGAATATGGAGGGAGAGAGGGAAGGGAAGGGGAAGTGTGCAGGAGGGATGGGGAGAAGCGGAGGGGAGGCATGGAGAGGAGGGGAGGGATGGAAGGAGGGGGAGGGGAAAGATGTTGACCTCGGCATTCCTGGTTGCACAGGTCTTGCAGCAATGGGGTTCAGCCCTCTCCCTGCCTGGGCTCACTCATTGTCCCGGGGAGCTGAGGCAGTCATGGGTGCCATTCTCCCAGGGAAGGCCCACCCGGGATACAGCCTCATGTGCGCGTCCCCCAAGCCTGGCTCCCTGCAGGCTGGAGACTGCCCTGGAGCCTGGAACCGCCGGGGCCAGCTGAGAAGCCGCCTCCGCCGCTGGAGTCCCTGGGAAGGGTCCCCTCCACCTGCCCACAGCCAGCCTGGGAGGCAGACGCGCCAACGTCTGGCCCCTCAGCAGGGACAGCGGCTCCAACAAAGCCACCCCCGGGAGGGGACGCTGTGCCCATGGGGCTGCTCCTCCCCCAACCCCAGGGCCTGGCCCCAGCACCTGCCCTGTGCCAGGGCCACCGAGCTGGGCTCCCTTGCCCTCCATTCAATGCAGGATTTCCCTCTTAACTTTCTTTCGATTTTGAAAACTTTCAAACATAGGCAACAATGAAAAGAACTGGGCAGAGAACACCGCCTGCCCCCCTCACCCAGGACCCCATTGTCCCCCGCCCCTCCCCGCTGATTTCATAGTGTGTGGCAGGCCCCAGCACACCTGCAGGTAGACTGGCTTTGGAGAACCTCTCTTCTCAGAGCCCATTACAAAGGCAGAAATTTGTGAGTTTGGGTCCCAGCTCTGCCATGGAAGCAGCAGGAAGACAGCGCTATTCATCGTCCTGAGCACCGCTTCTTCCTGTGGAAATTGACATAATGAGGCCCCGTGGGAGTGGCTGCAGTGGCTGGGGGGAGACAGTGACGGTGCACACCCAACTCGGGACCTCTGTCCCCAGGAAACCGCCTGGAGGATGGATGCTCTGGTGATGACTTTCAGAAGTGTGATGCCAAAATCAGGCACTGGAGGTAGACTGGCCTTGCACTCAGCCACAGCCCGCTGGACGCCAGCCTCTCCCGGTCTCCATGAAGATACGTGAAGCTGTGGTCACTTTAAGGCTCCGGGTGTGGGAATATCTGGTTTTAATATCAAGAGCACCTCGAGGTGGGTAGGTTTTGGTTTCCACAATGGAGCACAGATTTGTGCTCTGAGTTCCCCAAATCACGGGGGACCTGCAGCCGTCTCAGGCTGCCGGTGACCTTGATTAGAAGTGACTTGGGGCTGGAGGAACAAGTCTGGAACACAGGGCTAGGGCAGCCACGGTGGAGAGAGCCTTTTCCCAAGGAGCCAGAGGGAAGTTTCTGGAAACCACAGCCGGCCAGCACAGGAACCCCACCCGTCTAGACGCTTGGCCCTGTTGGTCTTAGAATGGATGCCGTGACCCAACGGGACTTCCTTGCAGCGGGGGAGCACATGCTCATGCTCGGGGTGCTGGGGAAATGTTTGGCCCAGGCATCCCTGGTTAAGTCTGGAGGAAAATTCCAGGCTTAGCAATCCTTTCCGTAGGAGGGTCTTGGGAGGGCTGCAGGAGGTGGGCAGGGAACAAGCCCCCCACCCAACATCGGAGGCGGGCAGAAGTCAGAAGCTTCAACAGGTTTGGCAGCCACTTTCCACCTGAGCCTGGCTGTAGACTCCGTGCTGGGCTCCTCGTGGATGCTCAGAAAACCCCACAAGGACTTGTGGGGCCTGATGATGTCCCCCATTCACCCCCCTCCCCCGCCCCAGCTTATTCCCTGCGCAGGATTTGTAATTTCAAACAATGGAAACACCCTTCATGTGGATCAGAAGCTGTGACGCACACAGGCGTTCATCGTCACACTGGTGCGTTATGCAGCTGGGAGAAAGAATGGGGTGCACTTGTTATGCGGCCACCCCGAGGACCCATTGAGGTAATCAGACAAGTAGAGGACAGGAAGTGAGTAAAGGGTGGGGGGTTAATGTCCATTGGTACCTACGTCAACATAAGAACCATGTGTCGACGTATGCATTGACGGTTGATGATGTGTGCCTCTATCATGGGTTGAATTGTGTCCTAAAATTCACATGTTGAAGTCCTAACCCCCAGAACCTCAGAAGGTGACGTTATTTGGAAATAGGGTGGTTGCGGATGTAATTAGTTCAGATGAGGTCATGCTGGAGATGGGTGGGCTCTGATCCAACATGACTGGTGTTCTTATAACAAGGGAAAACGTGGACACAGACACGCACCCAGGGAGATGCCGTGGGAAGGTGGAGGCGGAGGTGGGGACAGTGCTGCCACAGCCAGGGACCCACCAGAGGCTGCAGAAAGGCCTGGGCCTCATCTTTCCCTAGAGCCTCAGAGAGAGCCTGGCTCTGCCCACAGCCTGATGTTGGCTTCCAGAACCGTGAGAGAATACAGTCCTGTGGCTCTAAGGCACCCAGCATTCCTTGGCTCCTGCAGCCCCCGGACAAGGTTATCTGTGGGCAGGGATGAGAGAACCTCGCTGGAGCAGAACCGGGTGCTGGAAACAGAGGTGGGACGACCTCTGCCTCTCTGCGCTGTTCAGAACTTCATGGTTTCAGTTTTGTACCAAGTGCAAGTATTAATTTTTTAAAATGTCTGCTGCCCTTCTTGAAAAAAAAAATGGAATGGAAACACTGAAAAGTCACCAAAGAGATAACTTAGAGGTGGTCAGGGGTGTCTGGCCCTTAGTAGAGGCTGACAGAAGCTTGGGGTACGAAGAGGCTGCCCAGCTGTGGAAGGAGAGTAAAGGATGTGGAAGAGGTGTGGGGGTCCTGAAAGACTGGGAGGGCCCTCCAGGTTCACATGTGCAGGTGTGTGGGGGCGGAGCAGGGCAGCAGTTTCACATGCCATGGACCCACCGATGTGAAAATGAGGGAGAGTCAGAGCGTAGCCATGGAGGCCCTGGGGTCACCCCCTTACCTACTGGAGGAGGCAGGAAGGGTGGGCTCTGCGCCCAGACCCACCAAGTCTGCTCTGCCACCCTGAGCCTCCACTTGGCCTCTCCGAGCCTCAATTTCTTCATCTGATAAAGGAATGAACACATACCAACACCAGCAAAAAACACAGTTCATACAGCACCTTGACTCGGGCACCCCCCACAGCCCCACAAGCCGAGGTGGGGCACAGGTCGCTGGCGCAGCCCATCTGAACCCAACGTGCGTAAACCTGGCCCATGCCTCACGGTGCCCAGGCTGCCCCTTTGGGCCCTCAGTGTCTCTGCCTTTACCTCAACCTTCTTTTTCCACAACAAAAATGGCTTTTTATAGTATATAAATACATGCTGAACACAGAGAACTGGACAGATCCTCCACGATGCGGAGATAACAGGCCGTCTGTAAGCGCACCACTCTGAGACTCCCGTCAGCATTCTGGGATGGTCTCACCTGGCATCTCTTTAGGCAGACAAAGGCCGAAACACACACGCACACCCCACACTCACCGACGCCCACAGACCCATCCCTCCACACCCCCACACAGTCACATAAACACACACCATCCACACCTGCACCCACACAGCCCCACCCTCACACACACCCACGCCCCCGTCCACACAGAAACACACCCACACACATCCATCCAGGTCCACACAGGCCCATGCACACAGACACAATCTACAAACCTATTCACACAGACCCACACCCCTGCCTTAACACACACATATGAAAACACGTGCCTGTCCACACCCACACAACCCCTTATGCACACCTCTCCCCATAAACTCCTCACACAGTCCCCTGTCTACACTGACACACACCCCTGTATACACACCTCACCCTGTAAACGCCTCACACATCCCCCTACACACACACACACACACACACACACACACACACACACAGACACACACCCCACGGGTCCGTATAGGTGCCCACACAGCCCTACCCCCTTGACATGCCCCCACAGCCATACATCCTGCCATGTCACCCAGATGGATACCAGGTCCCGTTCCCGCCCATGGGGTCACAGGCTCTGTGTGGCCCATCAGGAACCCACCCATTCCCATCCCATCCCCCTCCAAATCCTGCATCGCCAGCTCGATGTCTTTACACATCGCTCTGCCTCTCGATGCTCAGTGAATCCTGCAGAGACGCAGAGCAACGCAAGCACGTGTGGCTGCAATGTACAAGCAGTAGGGTTTCGGGCTCACCGTTTTCTGTGTGTTCTATCCATGACACACATTCTTCTGCCTGTTTCTTTCCCATCCAGTGGGCCCTGAAAACCCCTCTCTGTCTTCTGGTTTAGCCTCCACTCCCTGTTTAGTGGCTGCACTCATTTCCATGGTGGTGGTGGTGGGGCGTTTCTGCATCTCCCCATTCACGGGATTCACTCTGTCTCCAGTGCTGGTGACAGCAGATAACCCTGCAGCCGTGTGGGCCTGTGAAGAAACCTGCCGCTGCCTCCTTAGGTGCTGGTGGGGCTGTTTCTACCAGAGAGATTCCTGGGTGTAGTACTGATGGGCCTAATGGGCTGGGTGTGTGTAGTCACTGATGTTACTCCAATTTTCCAGATTGCTTTTCCAAAAGACTGACCCCCCTGGGCCTTCCACCAGCGCCATAGAGGACGCCTCTCCCAAATCCTCTGCCTATAGGTAGCACAGCTCCTTCTTAAGGCTTTGCCAGACTGAGGAGTGTAAGTAGTGGCTACTCTCTGGGGTGTAAATTGGTCTTTACTCAAAGTCAGGGGACTGGTGAGTTGCAGTGAATATGTCACTGGCACCCACCCTTCTGGAGCCTGGTGTGGGTGGGTGGGTAACTCAGGATGGGAGGGGAGGCCTGCATCTGCAGCGGGTGCGGCGGGGAGGGCGGGGAGGCGGGGAGGGCAGGGAGGGCGCTGCTGAGAGTCAAACTGGACTCCTCCTCCTGCCCGCCCCCTCCTCCCTACCCCCTAGGCTCCTCTAAGCACCACACCATCTGCCGCACCCCCTGCTGGCTGCCGAGATTGTCATCAGACAGAGGACAGAGATGACATCTGTGTGCACCCCAGCTCAGGGCTCTGCGCACAGTAGGTGCTGGCGTTTGAGTGGGCAGAGGCAGCCGGCCCCCTCTCATGCCAGTGGCCTGTGGAGACCGTTACCTCCTCACTGCCAAGAGCTGGTCGTCCCAAACCAGTGAGCTTTTCAGCGGGTCCCACAGTGGGTGAAATGTTTGCCGGCTGGAGGGGTGAACTTAGGTCACATCATCGCCCACCCATCTATCATCATCTACAGGAATCTTTGCTCCTCCAGAGCTGCTGGAAGGCAGAGGCTTGGCCTGGGGAAGACTGGAAATGGAATCGTCTTCATCCTGTGGCACCCTCCCGCTGAGCCATTTCTCATTACAGGGCCTTGCAGAGCGTATCTGTTCTGGCGTCTGCAGGACAAGTTTGATAACTGAAGTGTGAGAAGGATTTTGAAGGAGACAAGGCAAGAATGAAACTTTCTCTCCCTGCCCCACTCAAACTCTCTTATGGCTGTGTGTAGGCAGGGTGGAGGAGAAGCACCCTCCCCACCAACATTCCTGATGGAGGGACCCCCAGACCTCAGGCGGAGAGTGGAGGCCCCTGAGACCTCAGGCAGAGAGTGGAGGCCCCCCAGACCTCAGGCAGAGAGTGGAGAGGGTCCCTCAGACCTCAGGCAGAGAGTGGAGGCCCCCAGACCTCAGGCAGAGAGTGGAGGCCCCCAGGCCTCAGACAGAGAGTGGAGGCCCCCAGACCTCAGGCAGAGAGTGGAGGCCCCCAGACCTCAGACAGAGAGTGGAGGTCCGCAGACCTCAGGCGGAGAGTGGAGGCCCCTCAGACCTCAGGCAGAGAGTGGAGGCCCCTGAGACCTCAGGCAGAGAGTGGAGGCCCCTCAGACCTCAGGCAGCAAGTCCTGCTGGGTGGCTCTGTAGCCGCAGCCTGGGCTCCGAGGTTGCTACGACGCTGAGTTTTGTCTGTGAAACACCAAAGACCAATCCACATACACCTGGCCTTAGTCCACCTGTACCCGTAGAGTTCCACAAACCTGGTGGCATAAAACAACAGAAATGTATTCTCTCCCAGTCTGGCGGCCACAAGTCCAAAGTCAGTAATGCCGGGTTGAAATGAGGAGTCAGCAGGGCTGCACTCCACGGGAGGCCCTCGGGGGGGGCTCCTTCTTGCCCCTTCCAGCCCCTGGTGGCTCTGGGCGTTCCTTGGCTTGTGGCCACATGGCTCCAAACTGTTTCTGCCTTCATGCGGCCTTCTCTGTGTGTCTGTGGCCAGGTCTCCCTGCCTCCCACTCATTAAGTATATACATGATTGCATTTAGGGCCTACCTGGATACTCCCTGCTCATCTCAAAATCCTTACCTAATCTCATTATCAAACACCCTTTCCTGCAAAAGGCAACATTTACAGGTTCTAGGTTTAGCACCTGATATCTTCGGGAAATAGTGCTGAGGTTTGAATGTTTGTGTCCCTCCCAAATTCATGTTGAAACTTAATTCCTAGTGCAAGAATATGACAAGCTAGGGCCTTGGGGAGGTAAGAAGTGCCCTTATAAAAGGGCTTGAGGGGGCGAGTTCACTTTTTTTTTGTCCTTCTGCCATGTGAGGACGCTGCAAGAAGATGCCATAGTAGAAGCAAAGAGCAAGTCCTCCTTAGACACCAGATTTGCTGGCACTTTGATCTTGGATTTCCCAGCCTCCAGAACTATGAGGAATACATTTCTGTTCTTTATCAATTACCCAGTCTATTTTGCTATACAAGCAAAAAGGGATGACAGCAGACAGTATTCAGCCCTAAATGCTCATTAGCCTCCGTGCAGTAGCTTGAGCCAGGGCCCCTCCAAAGTTATGTAGCGTATCAGCTGTTTGCTCCTTTGGCCTCGGTGAGGCTACCCCAGGGACTGCAGAAAGTGCGATTTTGAGCCACAGAACAGAAGTGTTGACTCGTCTAGGAGTCAGCCTGGAAAACTAGTTCAAAGGGAGGCTCCCAAGCAATGGCCCAGTGTAGAAAACTCCTAACAGGGATCATTTTGCTGCTGCTCACATACCTGTCCTGACAGGGAACTCACTACTCTGCAAGGTTACTCATTTTTTTTTTTGCTCCTACCACCCCCTTGACTTAAGCCTGTAATGATGTGCAGAAAGACTGTGCTTCTGAGATGCTGAAAAGGGACCTCAGTAGTGCAGAGGCCAGCTCTTTGAGAACATGTGAGAGCTAGCTGGGTGTAAGGAAGAGGCAAGTTCCAGGCTAGTGCCCACCCTTCAGGCTGAAACCAGCTGGAACCAGGCTGACCAATTATAAGGACAAGAAGGCGAGTGGGGATCTTCCATGAGAAGGGCCAGCAGAGAGCCTTGGGAAGAGATGTGTCTAATGGGGTCTCAAGCTGTGCGTTGGGGTCCCTTCCTTTGACAAGACAACCTCCTCCCGCCATCTTCAGTGCATCAGAGAAGCCAGTGTGGCAGCATGGCTGGGTTTCTCAGAAGCCAACAGGGGTGGGCTCCGGGGATGGGAAGGAGGTGGTCTGAGTCTCCTCTAACCCTGAACTTCGGTCTCCCTGCAGGCTGGGGGCCTAGCCCGAGCCCCTGTGGAGGTATCTGGGGTGGGGGATAATCATGTCTCCCACATCTCAACTCCCTTGGCCCCTTCTCCCTGTGGCCCCTCTTGGTGGTAAGCCCACTTGGGGCTGGCTACAGCCCTCCTTGGGGATAACTGCTCACACTGGCAGGAGGCAGGCAGGAAGGGGGACCCCTTAGTGGGGGCGACAGCTGGATGGATGACTGGGCTCCCATCAAATCTGACACACTCATCACCCAACTCCACAGAAGACCCAAAGCCTGTGCTGCCAGAGGGGACAGGGTGGCAGCAGCTCTCTGAATGCCCCAGGCCTGAGAAGGAGTGGGTGAGTGGGCATCTGGCTGCCAGGCCCCAGTCAAGCCGGGACCCCCTCCCCCCGGTTAGAGGCCTCTAGACAGACACAGCCCCTATGACAAGCCTGGATACCTGTGCCACCTTTAGGGGAATGAGTCTGTTGCACTGCGGTCTCTGACTGCCCTCAGCTCCACAGGGCCCACGTGAATCCCTGTGCCTATGATTCTTAGCAACCAACGAAGTTCATTTTGTCCCCACCAGTCTATTCTGAGCACCCCAAAAGGGATCATTTGGATGGGGCTGGGAGGGGCAACCAGCACATGGACATTTGCAAGGTGGGGCCTGGTTCTCAGTCCAGGGTGCCCCCGGCGGACTCACAGCACCGAGATGAAGATGGGGACAGACACCAGCTTTAAAATAACCTCAAATAAATTTGCCCACAAACAGTGTCCCAATCACCCTACATTACATTCTCAGGACCAGGGGAGGACGTGCTAAAACAGCACAACTCCTTGGACCTGAATTGTCCGGGCCAACCGTCTGTCAATGAACCAGATTTTGCTGGAATTCTCTCGCTTCTTTAGCACAGTGGAAGTATTCATCTAAGGTTAATTTATTCTGAAGGCTTAAATACGCAAAGTAGAGCCGCGCTGGGATGAACGTCCTGTCCCAAGGCCGCCACCTCCAGGAAGTTTGTGGAACTGACTTGAAATAACAACACCCTCCTTGGACAGAGATGCGGAAATGCGCATTTTCCCTCTTAAAACTCCCCTGTGCCTGTAATCCCAGCACTTTGGGAGGCCGAGGCGGGTAGATCACGAGGTCAGGAGTTCGAGACCAGCATGATCAACATGGTGAAACCCCATCTCTACTAAAAATACAAAAATCAGCTGGGCATGGTGGCAGGCGCCTGTAATCCCAGCTACTCAGGAGGCTGAGGCAGGAGAATCACTTGAACGTTGGAGGCAGAGGGTGCAGTGAGCTGAGATGGTGCCACTGCACTCCAGCTTGGGCGACAGAGCAAGACTCCATCTCAAGAAAACAAAACAAAACAAAAAAAACTCCCCTGCATCTCCACACCCACACCATTTCTACAATTCACATGGTATCTTAAAGTTTCCAATGTGGTTTTGGGCCTACGAAGGAGAAGAACTGAAGTGAGCTTTAAAAATGACTCTTCCTTGTTCCTAAAAATGCTAATCGGACCATCTCCAGGGGAATCCTATATGCACAGCCACCCCGCTCCCCGCCACCAAATATGCAACCTAAATCTGACAGCAATGACCCAGGGCTCCTGGCAGGCCAGACCAGCAGGTGAGGTCAGGGGTGGGGGGCGGGCAATACTGCTGTCTGCAGAGTCCTGTGCTGTTCACATAGTCCTCCCAGCCAGGAATGTCTCATCCCCACCGGGGCATTGCCTCTTCTGTCCTCATCTCATAGACTACAAATTCAGGCCTGGAGGAATGAAGTCACCTCATTTATTTGCTTAGTCATTTGTCCGACAACTACTGATGTAATGCAGTCAACAGGCGAGGCCCTGTTCTGGCCCCAAGACAGATCCCAGAAGGAGCTCAGCCCTGTCCTTGCGCACATGGGAAGCCAGGCCAGGCACTCTTCAGGGTCCAATCACACATGAATGACAGAGGAGTGCAGGGCGCAAGAGCGGGCTTGGGCCCCAAGTCTCCTTCTGGCTCCTACTTTGTGTTTCTACACAGCAGGGAAGGAGGAGGGTCCCTGACCCCCTTTAGAATCCCTCAAAGATGTTATTATTGCCACTTCAGGTCTGTATTCAAGTCCAGCAGCCGCAAAAATTAAGCAGCTGCAAGGCTGCTTGTCCTCTCTGTTGCTTCTTTGCCTGCAATTAGTGCAGAAGGCCAACAGGGGGCAGCATCTAGCCTGGCTGTCTCATGGGGACATCTGAAGTGGAAAATAGCTCACTTCCATTTAATCTTCATCTAAAAACAATAAGCCGATGTGAAGTTCAGAGAACTAACTTAATTAGGAATCATTTGCGGGGTCTCTGGAGCACCAGTTTCCTGAACTCCACTCTTCCCCACATATGCAAAGACAGCATCACTTAATGAAAAGGCAATTGAGGAGGCAAGGACTGGAGGAGGCTCAGAATCAGCAAATGGAGATTCAGGGGTTGCTGAGACTTCAGTCCAACAGGGTCCATCTACAGGAGGGGGAAACTGGGGTCCATGAAGGGCAGAGGATGATCTCAGTGCCCTCTGAGGGGCAGCCCAGGCAGGGAAGAACCCACTCCCTGGCCAATACCTGTAGCATTCACATAGATGCTCTGACTGAATACAACTTTAAAGTGTAATTCCAAGATGAGGCTGCAATCGGCCCCCGACGGCAGCATCACTTCGGGGGAGCAGGCTCCTCTGGTCCACAGAGGCAGGACTTCCACCAGGAGGGGAGCTTCTTCAGGAGGAGCAGGGAGAGATTTTGCCTGCCTCTTATTCATTTAATGCCTGGGGAGGGGCCTCAGCCCTGCCCATCATCACAATTCCAACTCAAGTTCTCCAAAAACAACCCCAGCCTCCTGCCTTTACCGGGAGGCAGATGTATGGTTGCTGGGAGATACTGATGCCGTGAGTCTGCCAACAGCTGCCTGCAGCTCCGTCCTGGCTCCACAGGCTGCATGCGGGCCTCAGGCCTTAGTGCCACCCCCCCACCCCCAGGTTGGTAAATGCCAAGCCAAGCTCCGAGGCCCACTGTCTTTTTGATCCTCAGTTTTCTCATTGGAAAAATACACATAGTCACTTTGTAGTGAGGGTGACAGGAACCAAGACGATGACAGAGCCTTTCCCTCCCCTGCAGCAATGGGGCACAGGCCAGTGGTCCCAGACTGTCCGTGCTCCTCAGGCCCCTCCACCTCCGCACCCCACAGCTCACCCCCAACCCTTGAGGCTGTGCTGCAGCAACATGTTTCCCAGAGAGAGGAGGCCACCCCTTCCCCAGTACCAAAGGGAGAAGCCTGGGGCGGCCGGCCCTCCCAATGCAGACAGCGCGCCCAGCCTTGCTGCACCCAGCCCAGGAGGAACTGAATGCCCCAGATGCGTGCTGTGCCGGGTGCTGGGTACCAGGCGCTGGGTGCTGGGTGCCAGGTGCATGCTGTGCTGGGTGCCGGATGCCAGGTGACAGGTGACAGGTGTGTGTTGTGCTGAGTGCTGGGTGCTGGGTGCTGGGTGCCGGGTGCTGGGTGCTGGGCCAAATGCCCTCCCTACACAACCGGGCTGGATGCTCGGCGACCCCGACTGCTTCCAGGGCCTTTTCTTGGCCAAACTGATGCAAAATGATTGAAGCCAAAAACCTCCTGAAAGCAGGTGGAGAGCTGGCACTGAGAGATGTATGGGAGTCAGTCACCTCCCGGTTACCCAGCGCCTGGTCCTCATGGTCCCTTAGAGTCTGCCACCCGGCTCCACTGTGGAGGAAAATTGAGCCTGAGAAAAGAACGGGTTTGCCCCGATTTCCCAGTGCTGACGCCAAGCTGGGTGGGACCTCACAGCTACAAACCTGGCCTCTTCCCCTGCGCAGGGAGATCTGCACCTGCAAGAAGGGGACTGAGCAGGTGCCTGAGGGCCATGCGTGGAGTCTGCCTTTCCTCCAGGGGATTTCGTTTAGATCTCCAGGGGGATGCACTGTGCTGCACAGGAGTAAACGCGGTGGAGAAAAGGAAAAAATAAACCAGAAAGGCAAGGGCAGCAGGGGCCTTGGACTGCCACGCTCAGGGGCCACCCAGTAACTGTGCCCCGACCATGTGCTATCCCACCCCCACAGAAGTAGCTTCCTTTTGTTAAATTGCTACGAATTCTCTCCGCCCCTTGCCTCTCTGGGATCTCAAAGACCCTCCCCCAACTTCTCAGAAGGACGTTTGGCTGCTGCGCCAGGGCCCCATAAACCCCGACAAGACTCGGTCCTGAGCCGCTGCTGCACAAGGTTGGCGCAGGGAGGGAAATGGCAGGTGGCAGTGCCTGCCCCACAGGGCCCAGAACCTCCAGCACCCAGCAGTGATGTGCACCCTCGTTGAGCTTAGCTTCCCTTGAAATCCTCCACTGGGTCTAGTAAATGGTGGGGTCCCTCCCGCACTCATTCATTTATTCCTTCATTCCCAATCTGTCTGTGCTGGGCAAAGTTTGATGAGTGAGGCTTTAGCTGTGAACAAGTCAGTACAGTTTGCAGACGTCATACAAATAAGCAAATCAACGTGCAAGATCACGATCAATTGTGACAGGTAAACCTGGAGCCAGGCTCACACCCAGGCTTTGCCAGGAGAAAGCAGAGGTCCTGGGAGGTGGTGGCACTCACCCAGAGCCACCAACCAGAGGAGGCAGAGGCTGGATTTACTTTAGGGGTCTCTAAAACCATCCTAACAGCTCCCAGGGCCAGAAATCCTGTTTACTCCCCTTAAATGTAAATGTCCAGGGGCGGGGCGGGGCGCGGTGGCTCACGCCTGTAATCCCAGCACTTTGGGAGGCCGAGGCAGGCAGATCACGAGGTCAGGAGATCGAGACAATCCTTGCTAACACAGCGAAACCCTGTCTCTACTAAAAATACAAAAAAATTAGCCGGGCGTTGTGACAGGCGCCTGTAGTCCCAGCTACTCGGGAGGCTGAGGCAGGAGAATGGCGTGGACCCGGGAGGTAGAACTTGCAGTGAGCCGAGATCACGCCACTGCACTCCAGCCTGGGCGACAGAGCAAGACTCCATCTCAAAAAAAAAAAAAAAAAATGTCCAGGGTTATCCCCGGGGGAAGGAAGGGCTGAGGCCAAGAGGACAGGGTCATCCCCAAGCCAATTATCTTCCAAAATGGGTGGGGGGAGTGGATTTGTCAAACCCTGACACTCACCCCTGCCTGGCGCTGTCAGAGCGCTCTCAGACACAGCACCCCGCCTTGCTTTTCCCAAGCCTGGCTGCCCCATTTTACAGAAGCAGCTCAGGCAGGGCCAGGGAGCCCAGCGACAAGGGGATTATCTGTGCTCCAGGGGACTTAAACTGTCTTCATGTCACTGGATGGGGCTGCTGGGACCCAGAATTAGTGCGCCAATTCTGTATCTAATCGCTTGCAGCAGCAAACTAGGCAAACCTGACAGCTGCTCCAGCTGGGCAGAGGCTCTCCCAGGTGCCCCTGCAAGCTCCACTCCCCAGGACGTGAGCTGGCATTTTCACAAATTGAGGTAGGCCAGACAGTGCTCCCTGGAGAGTGGAGGAGGCATGGGGGGACTTGGTCTTCCTCTATCCAGCCCTGGCACCATCCCCCCAACCAGGTTGTTCTTTGGGTCTGGGGCATTGCTGCACTTCCTCCTCCTCTCCAGTCTCTGCCTGGCTGTGCCCGGGCAGCAGGGGCTTCTCAAGCTTGTTCAGCCTTGAATACAACCCACCGCTCTTTGAGCCAGTCCTGGCTCCAGGAGGGGTTCCATTTCTCCACTGTCCAGCTATCTCTTGGACTGGGAGGTGTGTCCCAAATGGCTGACTAGACTCCAAGTGAAGTGCACCCGTTTCACTGTGTTTAGTGTATTTTGCTGAGTGACCTGAGCCTCAGGTTTCTCCTCCAGAGAATGGGTGTAATGATGATGATCCCTAGCCGGGTCTGCTGGTGCGCACCTGTAGTCCCAGCTACTCGGGAGGCTGAGGTTGGAGGATCGCTTGAGCCCAGGAGGTCGAGGCTGCAGGGAGTTGTGATCAAACCACTGCAGTCTAGTCTGGGTGACCCAGCGAGGCCTCATCTTCAAAAAAAAAAAAAAATTACTAATGAGTTCTACCTCAGTGCTGTTGCTGGGACCAACACTGTCCTCCCCACCCACCCCAGGTCGTGGTGGGTCGCCGGCAAGGCCTGGCTGGCCCAGGCACAGCCTCAGCCCCGCAGGCATTTCTGAACCCCTCCCCTAGCTGGGAGTAGGGAAAGCAGGCCTGAGGAGGCCTCACAGGCCCTGCAGCCCCTGCACTGCCAGTTCCAGGCTTCGGCTCCCCTCCTAACGCTGGTCCCATGTGCACCAAGTCCCAATGCTGTCCCGTCGCTGGGGTCTCAGGGACCGCTGTCTCCTCGTCTCCTCTTAGGAGCTCTAACTCCAAACTCCGCTCCTAGACTCGGTCCTCCAAACTCCAGGCGCTGCCTTCAAGCGCAGGCAGCAGCGGTCACATCTCCACTGTTCCCAGCACCGGGGAAATGGCTTTCGTGTTGCTCACACCCAGCTCAGATGCCCAGTCCCCTTCCCTGACCTCAGACCATACAGCAGCGTTCTCTGTGTGCTTTACACCACCACACCCCTAAAAGCTCCCTGCGAGAGCCACTGTTTGCTTCACTGCTTCGCCCAAAACCGAGAACCCGCGGCTCACAGACGCTCCATCCTATCCGCGGACAGAAACGAATCCGAGCCGCAGCTGCACGTTTGAACCCCGCAAAGCCACTGTGAGCCGGTACTGAAACCCCAAGGAAAAGTCGGGGTTTGGGGGCGGGATCCTTGCCCCATGTGGGTTGGGAAAAGACGGTGGGAACCTTCGGGACTCTGGAGTGGTGAAATGACGGGAGAGGACACTCAACACTCCCGACTCATGCCCTTCAGAGCGGAGCTCTGACCTGGCCTCCTCCAGGCAGTCTTCCCGGCTGCGTCCTGCCCTATCTCCTCCTCCCCAGCTCGGCGTTTGCAGCCCCGCTGGGCCGCGCGCAACTGGAGCGCCAAGTTGCGTCACCTGAGCGCTGTTACCGTGGTGCCCGGTCTGACCGCGTGTGCGAACCCAGGCGTCTGCGACCGCGAAGCTGCGAGTTGTCTCGGGCCCTCCCGGAGCTGCGGGCGGCTCCTCGAGAAACTCAGAGAGCCCAGGCGCACCACGGGCCAGCCAGGACATCCCCAGGCGGCCCTGTTAGCCCCATTTTATGGAGGAAGACTGAGGCTTTGGGTTGCATGGGACCCGCGGTTACCCCGCAAACACAGACGCTTACGAAGACGCTATCGCGAGCCGAACAGTCTGGAGGAACTACACTCACAGTAGCTCCTCCACTGGGTCTCCGCGTCCTCGCTGGCCTAACTCCGCAAACACGCCCTCCCCGGACGCAGGCTGGGTTTGCCGAGAAGTCTTGGCGGCGAAAGAGCGCAGGCAGCCAGCCCAGCAGGGCCCGCCATCTGCCTCCCCAGCCATGCCATCCCCTCCCTCACTCCACATCACCCCTCCCCTCCCCCCACGCCACCCCCTCCCTCATCCCCACGCCACCCCTCCCCTCCCCCCACGCCCTTCCCCGGCTGCCGCCCTCTCGGAGGCGCCCGGGGCCCCGGGTTCCCGAGAGCGGCGGGGGGTCCAAAGGCGCGGGCACCGATGGCGGGCGGGGCCCTCCTGGGTCCTCTGCCCGCCGCCACCCCTCGGCCCACCCCGCCCGCAGCATCTGCGCGTTTTAAGCCGGATAAGACGCTTCCTTCCCTGTTTGTCTGGGTTTCTTTCTCGGTTGCTCAAGGCTCTGATGTGACCTCTCCAAGAAAGGACACCAATGGCCGCGCCCCCGCCCCACGACGCTGCGGACAGCAAGCCGACTCCCCCCACCCGGCCGCCTGCCCCCTCCCCGCGTCGGTGCGCGCCTTGGCTCCGGGAAACGCCTGCCTCCGGTCGGTCTAGCGCGGCGTGTGCGAGTGCAGCCCCCGCGGGGACGTGGGCACCAACAGCAGGCGAGTGACTACCGCGGCGCAGTTCCCGAGGACCCAGCGCCTCTCCCGAGGCCACCCTCCCGGGCAGGAATTACTGTCTGCCGGCCCGAAGCCGCCACCCCACCCGCCGCCCTGTTTCAAAGTTGGGGAGAGTCCATGCCGCGACGGAGCGAGCAGACTTGGACATGGTCGAGTGCCTGGTGCGCACGATTGGTCTTAAGAGTTTAGGGAAAAAAGCACGCGGGGAAACCACGCGGGGCCCGGCGCGCTCTCGTTTCCCACCACTGCCCCCTTCCCGGGCACCGTGGGCCGCCGCTGTTGCCCGTCCCGCTTTCTTCTCGCCTCGGAGCACCGGGTCCCCCGGAGTGACCTACTGCAGCCGAGCCCCGGCGGTCGGGGGCTTGCGCTGGGTTTTGGGACGCGGTCTCAGACGCTTGGCCCTGTGGCCCTACCCATCGGTTCCGGTCCCAAGAACGGTGCTCTCCTGTGCCTCGGGCCTTTCCCGGGGCGCCGGGCCGCGGCAGGAGCGACCTCCGCCCGCGCTACCTTCCTGCCCTGTGGCCTACCTGGGTCCCCCTTACACCTCTGCTCGGTGCAGCCCTGAGCCTCGGTTTCCCAGACGGCGCAGCTGAGGCTCTCGAGGTGACGAGAGGCTGTGGGGGTGAGGTCGCAGCCCTGCTCCCTCCTCAGTTCCGCCACCCACCCCTTCGGTAGTAACGCCGTTCTCAAAATGGGCCCAGGGCCCCTTCCGGCCAAACACAGCCTGGACTCCTGGGCAGAGACCGAGCGCGGCAGAGGTGGCCCGAAGGCCGGGTTGCGGGGGATCCCGGCCTCTGCCCAACTGCCCCGGAATCTGGCAGGCAGACACGCTGCGCCACTGGGGACAATGCGACCCCAATGAGCTGGCGCTCCCCTCTGGCGAAGGACCAGGTGGCGAGGTCGCCCCTGTCGTGTGGCCCAATGCGTTACCAGCAAGAACAAAGTCCCATCTTAACTGCTCTTCGCGCGGCTTTTGACCTTGGGTCGGGGCTGCGTCTCAGCGCTCAACAGCCCCGCTTCTCCCCACGGTTTTAAATTACCGGAACGAAGCCACTGCCAGCGGCGCCTGCACGGGGAGGGCAGGGAGCGCTCGGGGCGCATTGGGACCTCGAGTACCTTCACCCTAGGGAGTGCTCGTCCCCAGCCCGGCCTCTGCGGCCGCCCCCGGCCCAGCCCGTGCTGTCCTCATCTTATCGCGGCCCGCCCCGGCCCTGCGCTCCCGCCGCTCCGCAGCCAGGTTTCTCCGCTGCCGTCCTCTTCCAGGGCCAAGGGGCCGTGGCAGACCCGGAGCCTCCCGGAGGCGCTTCTGCCGGGGCGGATTATCTCCCCTCTCCCACCAGGCCCCGGCGGGGGGCACCAACTCGCCCCGAAAGCCGAGAAGCGCTGGAACTCCCCCTCCTGGCCCCCTCCTCCGCTTCTGTTTGTTTAACCTTCCGGCAGGGCGGTGACCCTGCGCCCTGCCAGGCGCTGCCATGGGGTCAGGCGGGGGTGGGGGGCGCCTCAGGGGTCCGGCGGCGGCTGGGAGTCCCCCGAGCAGCAGAGACCCTCCTCCTGTCTCCTGTTCTGCCCATCGTGGGAAGTGTCCCAGGCCTGGTTGTGCCAGAGGCCCTGGGCGACCTTCAGCAGTGTCTTAACTTCTCTGGGCTTTGACCTCTGGGGACAGAACACCCCGCCCTCAGTGAGAGGCCCTGCTCTAGGCAGGTGCGGCTACATGATCCATGTGGCCCAGTGCAAAATGAAAGATGGCCCTTGCTCAAAAACTCAAGAAATATTGTGACTTTGAAGGCAGCAAACACAGAGGAGGGGCCCTTCTGAACGGGGCCCTGCGGGACTGTACAGGTCCCTTGAGCCCATGGAGCTAGCCTTGACTTCTGGACTAAGACCCCCCACAGAGAGCCTCCACCTGCGCCAGCGGCAGGCCGTTCTTCCCTTGTGCACCCTGAGTGCTCAGTCCTGGGCCCTGGGCAAGGTGGGGCTGGTCTCAGAGGGGCTCAGGGAGATCCCTGCAAATTAGGGCCGCCCTTGTCCTGCTGCTGCTCCCCAGGCAGCTGCCTGTGGGCTGTCCTCTCCCCCTGCGTTGGGGACTCTAGGGGCACAGTTAGGGCTAATGGTGCAGTGTCACCCTTGGCCCAGCCCTCTGCAGGGATGTCGAAGGTCTACCCTGGAGATCTGACTTAACTACTCTCAGGAGGTAACAGGTAGGGGTGGGAGGAGGGCGGGGCGGGAAGAGGGCCAAGGTGGATGATGGTGACTGTGACTTAGAGGAGGCAGGGCCCAGGTTTCTGGAGCTGGGTCTGCCAAGGGCCTGGTCTCAGGGCCACATTCTGGGTGTGTTTCTCAGGCGCTAGTTTTGCCTCCTGAATGTTGGGGAGAATAACTCCCCCTCCCAGTGTGGGGCAGGGGAGGGGCAGGGAGGGGTGGGGTGCTGTGCGCACCTCGGGTGGGTTCCCCTTTGAGCCTCACAATGATGACGTCACCCCCATCTGGAGGACAAAAACTAGGAGGCCCAGGGCAGCTGGGTAAGGGGTCCAGAGTCACGCAGCCCACAGGCCCCAGGTCCACAGCAGCGCAGGGTGGGTGCCTGTGCATTCAGGCCAGAGAGAGCAGATTCTGGGCCTCGGGCTCAGGGCCTATGGGATGCAGGGTGGCCTCTGCCACCCAGAGTCCCACAGCCAGGCACCCTTACCAAGCCCAGGCAGAGTTCAAGAAGCTCAGGGACTCTAGGGGCACTGATGGGGCTAATGGCCCATATCCCCCTGGGCCCAGCCATGGGTCTTGGAGCTCTCCCAGTGACAAACCAGCCCCAAAAGCTGAGCAAATGGCCTGCGACAGCCGCCCGAGGAGGCCCTGGCTTGGACCCAAGACCTCTTGTTTCTCTGGCCCCAGAAAACGCTTCTGGGTTCTGAGGATTAGGTTCTGGGAGGAATCCAAGCTCTGTGGGAGAAACTTGGGCAAGGCGCTGGCCCCTGTGGGCCTCAGTTTACCTAGCTGTAAGGAGTGGATGGGGTCTGAGTAGGAGCAGACAGGCAGGTGGATCCACAAGATGAAGCTGACCTGGAGATAATTCCCCAGCCCCTCCTGGGAACGGTGGCCAGGCAAGCGCTCCTGGGCCTCCACACCCCATGCCCTGGCTTGGGCCCGCTCCCTCATACACAGCCGATGTATGACAAGTGTGTGGGCCCTGAAGAGGCCCCTGGGCTCTCAGGGGTTCCGGGAAGCACACTAGGACTTTGACGGTGGCATGTTCCATGCTAACAGGGTGTGGCGGGCCTTCCAGCTCAGTGGGCAGGTCCAGGAGTCTACCAGCTCAGCGTGGTGCCCCGGTCCCAGCCACCTGGAGCTGCACAACAAGCTGAGTCCTTGCTGGCCACCAACACTGACGCAGGCCCCATCCCTCCAGCCTGACCTCAGGAGGCTGGTGGGCAGGGAGCCTAGTCCCTAGGCCAGGTGGCCCTCCCCCCCAGCCACTGTGCCTGCTGTGTTCTAGGGATGGAGGCCTGGGGACCTGCAGGGTATGGCAGTGCCCAAGATCATGGTTCTTTCCACACTCTGGAGGTTGAGGAGGTGGGGAGTGCTGAGAAGAGGCGCTGTTGAGAGACAGACATCTCTGCTTCCTGGTGATTCCTTCAATAACCGGGTGAAATAACAGGCCAACCTCAGTTCACTGAAGAGGAAACAGAGGCCCAGAGAGGTTAGGGAACTCACTTAAGGGCACACAGCAGCAGGAAGAGGTAGATTTGAATTTGGGACATGGCTGCCCCCTGCCACCTAGCCTCTGCACACACAAGTGCATGCATACACACACATATATGCGCACACACACACGTGCACAGTGATTGAAACACAGATTTAGACCTTGGGCATGCAGGGCAGAAGGCCCATCCGAGAAGATGCAAACACAAATCCATTTCCTTCAAGTGTTGATTGATTTCTCTTCAAGAACGCCTGCATTATGCAAGGGGCTGAAGGTCAGCTGATTTAAATGGAAATGAGTTCGGGAAAAACAAATCAACACAGCTCCAGGTTCAATTCACTGGAAAAGCACATCGCCTTGAGTTACTCAAGGAATGACAGGGCCATTGTAGAGATAGCTGGACAGCCTGCTCACCGTGCTTCCGGGGGTCTCAGCCTTGGAAGATCACCGTGCTTCCGGGGGTCTCAGCCTTGGAAGATCACCGTGCTTCCGGGGGTCTCAGCCTTGGAAGATCACCGTGCTCCCGGGGGTCTCAGCTTTGGAAGATCACCTTGCTCCCGGGGGTCTCAGCTTTGGAAGATCACTGTTCTCCCAGGGGGCTCAGCTTTGGAAGATCATCCTGCTCCAGCTCCCAGGGGGTCTCAGGCTTGGAAGATGTCTCTGGAGTTGCTGGGTCCTCCATGAGTTCACTTATCCTGGCTGGAGCTGGGGGTTACCACGGAAACCTGGAGGGACTTTTCCCCTAACAAGTCTTTTTTTTTTTTTTTTCCCAAACAAACACTTTTTGGAAGAGTTTACCCCGAAGTGTGGCTTGGGTTTTGCATCTCAAGTGGTCTAAGCAGCTCTATAGTCTCTGCAAAAGAAAAACACATATTCCCTCCCTCTGTCCTTCCCACCTTCTCGCCCTCCCCTCCTCCTTCTCTCCTGTCTGCCTTCCTTCCTTTTCTCCTTCTTCCTCCTTCCTCCCTCTCTTCCTTTGACTGGCCAGTCATCAGGCTGGTTTCTGGAACGGGGCAGGGAGCAGACAGCCAGGGCCATTCCCATGTGGCACTCGTGGCCGTGACCTCACTCGTGTTCTTCAGCTGGCCTGTGAGGCCACCGTGCTGTCTTCATTTAGAAGTGCAGACGCAGAGTCCCAGAGAGGTGGAGTGATTTGCCCAAGATGGCCCAGCAAATGGGTTCCTGAACCTGGCAGCAGCCCCTCTGCCTCAGGCATTCCCTCCTCTCCAGCTCTTCTGGCAAGTCCCTCCCTACCTGCTTTGTGTCCTGCAGCTGGTCTGGGCTGACTCACAACCCCAAGCCTCGGTGCCTCCTCCCTGCCACGCTGGGACTTGCCTGCACCCTAGGGCACCGACTCTTTGTTAAATGATGTCTTAAACATTGTGGGCAGCGTTTACATCTCACTTGGAGATTCTCGGGCCTCCTTGGGCAAAATCTGCCACCTCTGCTCTGTCCCATCATGGTCCTTGGCACGAGTCCCCCTCGGATCACCAGTCCCTGGCTCCCACCTCCACTCACTTGGACTAGCCTGAAGGCTGACCTAATCCCATGCTGGGCCCCAGCCCCCAGAGCACAGAGCCAGGCACATGCAGTTGCTGTCATTCTAGATGGGCCCGGGGAAGTAAAAGCATTTCAAGCCAGAAGGGCTGGGGGAAGGAACGACAAGGGAGAGGAGCTACCTCTGCTGTATTGTGAAAGACGGAGGTGACCAGAGTGGAGGGACATTGGGGTCTCGAGAGAAGAGAATACCGGGAAGTTAGCTGAGGACCCCCTGAGGCAGGAAAGGTAACAGGCAGAGGAAGGAGGAAATCGAGGCAGGAGGAGCCAAACCCGGAGTTTGCCCAGAAGAGCGGAATTCCTCCCCATCCACATCATCTGTAGCCTGTGGTTTTGATTACCTTCTGGCAGTCCGTAGCGCCCCTTAGGAGCTGAAGCACTTGCGTTTCCATCTGCTGATCAGACATGGGAGGAAACCAAGACAAATAAGACGTCCACATTGTGGTGGGAGCATGTTTTTGGCTCTAGATTTGAAATTAGCATAATGTTTGTCTAAAGCTAACAACAGTACATTCTTCCTGTCTGGAAACGTGTTAATGATCTTAATATTTAGGAGAAAGTGTCTTC
Organism: Homo sapiens; assembly: GCF_000001405.40. NCBI lineage: Eukaryota > Metazoa > Chordata > Mammalia > Primates > Hominidae > Homo > Homo sapiens. The sequence continues at coordinate 151,612 of NW_021159993.1, forward strand.
AGATGGAGAGAAAGCTGGCTCCCTGCACCAAGATTCAGTTTGCTTAGAGCGATTTTACTGTCATGTGTTTTCTTGGAGGAACCAGAGGGAGACATCTGGGTAGTTTATCATCATTTCTTTGAAATACCTTTATATCTTTAAAATATGTGCTTCCTGCCCCCAGAGCTGTTGGATCGTGAGGACATACAGGCCACACCTGAAGGCTGCTGGCATCCTTCTCAGGTGCTCTGTGGCTTAGCTCTTTGCTCTCTAACAGGTGAGGAATTATTCAGCCCATTTTACAGTCATGAAGACTGAGCCTGAGGCAGAGTGACCTGCAGACCCAGGGTTACATAGCCCTGGCAGGGACTCGGGTGCGGCCCAGCTCACCTTGAGTTTACTTTTTTTATTTTTTTTTTGAGACAGAGTCTTGCTGTGTCACCCAGGCTGCAGTGCAATGGCATGATCTCGGCTCACTGCAACCTGTCTCCCGGGTTCAAGCGACTCTCCTGCCTCAGCCTCCCGAGAAGCTGAGGTTACAGGCACACACTACCAGCCTGGCTAATTTTTGTATTTTTAGCAGAGACAGGGTTTCACCATGTTGGCCAGGATGGTCCCGAAATCCTGACCTCAGGTGATCTGCCCGCCTCGGCCTCCCAAAGTGCTGGGATTACATGCATAAGCCACCGCGCCTGGCCTGAGTTTGCTTTTGTAAGCAGCCTTGAGCATTTTCTGCTGTCCCTGGAAGGGGGCCCAGCTCTGCTCGGCAGTTGTCCAGGGCCGGCTGCGCTAACAAACACCAGATCCAGAGCTGGGGGTCTCATCTTCAGTGAAATCAGCCACAGCAAAAGGTGTTGGCAGGTGCAGGTTTCCTGAAAGCCTAGGGTTGATAGGGAAGCAATTGCCTCTTGCTGAAAGCATTTTCTCTTGGAAATCTCAACCTGTCCACTCTCCTCTGGAGAAGCGGGGAGCAGAGGCCATACGGCCATAACCAGACCTTGTCCTTCCCTGCTTCACCCCAGAAGGCACCCTGGGCTGGGATCCGAGCTTGGACTCCATCCCTTTCCCAGTTTCCATCTCGCCTCGAGGCAGCCCTCTGTGCTGGGCCGAGGCTTGCATAGCCGTCAAATGGAGCCTCAAAGTGGCTGAGGGTCACAAAAAACATCTGTGACGCTGCTGACCCCAGTGTGGGTTCAGTCATTCAGCCTTATGGGGTCCTCGTGGCCCCGGGTACAGCCTTCCTCACTTCAGAGAGAAAGGGCTTTGAAAGCTTCTCTGGCTCACAGATCGTCAGGGCCTCACTACTCGAGCAGAAAACGCTGAATGGATTCAAAGCTGAATATTTGGTGCTGTTCTAACCCATCTCTTCTTGATGATCTGAGTTCCAAGATGTTCTCTGGAACATCATTCCTGCAAGGCTTCTCTGAAAAAAGGACCCTGTGGCTGCTGAAGCCTGGGAGATGCCATACACTGGGCCCATCCCCACCACTAGAGATCTGTGTCGACCCTGAGCAAATTAACCGCCCTGACCTCCCTGCAGAGACGGCCTTCACTGCAGTGAGCCCAGCCTGGCATGTTCCGAACTCACGGGACTCAGACCCCTTTCCCCATCACTTTTCTTGTTCGGGGTCCCCTCAGGAGACAGAAACCACCCATCGTTCTAACAGAGAGTCCCGTGTAGAGAAGGGGTAGCTTGGTATTGAGGGATGGAAAGGCAGAGGGACTCTGAGACGCCATGGAGTAGCAACCTTGGGAAGCCGCTGCCACCCCAGGGCTGGGAAAACATGGCGAAGCAGAAGGAATTACTCCAACTAGGCAGCTCAGAAGAGGGGCGGTGGAGTTGGGCCCCCGATGACTGAGGGCCTGTGGGCTATGCCTGTTTCTGAAGGGCCAGGAGGTTGGCCCAGTGAGCGTAGGGATACCACTAACAGAAGGAGGAAGGAATTTCCCCTGCTGCGGTGAAGAGCATTGCCATGGTGACATTCCTGCCAGGCCAGCTCCCCCTAGCTCTGCCTGGGAGCAGAGCCCACTAAGTCAACGGTGGTTTTTCCTGCAGATATAAATTACTGCTATGACCCAATAGATTTACCTCTTAGAACTTGTTCTGCAGTGGGCAGGTCTATGCAAACCTCCCCCAAAAGTCTGGGAAAGCTGAGAGGCTGACATATCCCATTTCTGAGAAAGGAACATTTAACATAGCCTTAGGGACATAAGACGCATCTGTGTGTTGGATGGTGGTGATGCAAGATGGTGGCTCCCTACACCAGAACCCCCTGACCCAGCACTTAGATGCCATAGCGAAAGGTATGCAGCCCTTTGCTGGTTCCTTCTGAAGCTGCAAGGGAGAATCTGTTCCCAGCCTCGCTCCGGCTCCTGGGGCGGCTGGTGGTCCCCCATGTTCCTTGGCTTGAGGAGGCATCACCCCAACTTGTGTCTTCATCTTTACCTGGCATCTCCTGTGTGTGTCTGTAACCAGATTTCCCCCTTTTTAGGAAGACGCCAGTCATGCTGGATTAGGGCCCACCTGCGCCAGTGTGACCCCATCTTAACTACATTGACAGTGACCCTGTTTCCAAATAAGGTCCCATTCTGAGGTCCTGGGGGTTAGGATGTCAACATATGAATTTTGGAGAGACAAAATGCAACCCACAACACTTCCTGCTCAGGACACAGAGTAAGTGGGAAAACCTTCCCCAGAGGGAAAACCTTCCCCAGCCTTCGGTACTGTGGAGGCTGAAGGAACTCCGTCTTAGATGCTAATCTGCCACGTTGACTTCTCACTCACTCTGGTTCCAGGAAGGTCTCTAAGATCTCCAGTTTCTCTATTGTTCCTTGCGCTTACCATAAATCTTGCCCTTAGAGCAATTGTCCTACACATCCCTTCTGGAGCACGTCTACCCTCTCCCTGTGGCATATAACCCCTGGGTCTGAGGTCACGGTTCAGGGAGCCACCCTCTTGTCTTGCGGCCCCCACTGAGACACAGATGCAGCTTCTGTTGCCCAGTCTCTGTTAAATGTTCCTTTCTGAGAAACTGGGTATGTCAGCCTGTCTGCTTTCTTGGACTTTTGGGGTAGGTTTGCATAACTTGCCCACTGCAGAACAAGTTCCAAGAGGTAAATCTATAAGGTTAGGCAGTAATTTATTGCTGCAAAGTTTCTGACTTCTGGCATCCTGAACTGTGAGACAATCAAATTCTGTTGTTTGAGCCACCTAGTTGGTGGTGTTTGTTATGGCAGCCATAGGAGGCTAAAACAGGAAAATTACAGTGATTGAGGACAAATAAAGGCCTGGATTCTTGGTTTGCCTGTTTGGAGTTTCAACTATTGAAGAAACGGTTGTTAGACAAGAGTACGAGAGAGATTTCCATTCCAGCAGATTCACAGAGGAGCTATTCAGAGAAGGACCGTCATTGCAGAGTTCCCAATGGTAGATGAATTACAGTAGGTATGCTTTTAAATGCATTGCTGAATTTCCAGCAAAAGTACAAGTACACTCACCCTTTCACTCAGCAATGCCACTTCTAGGAATGTACTCCAAAGACACGCTGGCAAGGTCACAAAGCAATTTCTGCACAAGGCTACTCATGACAGGATTATTTGTCTGAGTTCCAGCATTGGGAATGATTGACACATCCTCCTGAGTAGATTCAGGTTTTCACATCATTGGCAGGAACATCACAGGCAGGATGCTGTGTTGTTCTCATTGCACCTGACCATGTGGCTCACCAATGGCATTTGTCCCATTACTGGGGATATTAACTTTGATCACTAGATTAATTAAGGTAGTGTCTGTCAGCCATCCCCACTATACTCTTTTTTTTTTCTTTTTGTAATTCACAAGTAATTTGTAGGGAAGTGCTCTGGGACTATGTGAATGTCCCATTCCTCATCCTGCTTACAGTTAACCATTCATTAATTTAGGAAAGTAGGGTCCCCTGGATTCCTATTTCACCTGTCGGTGCTAATCCATCACCAGCATCATTTTCCTGCTTAAGTCGTCCTCCATCTGGTCAGCAGGAGCCCCTTCACGGTGGCCCCTGTGTCCGTGCGGCACATCCCTCTCATTCCTTGAGCATGTCTTTATTATCTCTTTCTCTCTCTTTTTTTTTTTTTGAGATGGAGTTTTGCCCTTGTCACCCAGGCTGGAGTGCAATGGTGTTATCTCGGCTCACTGCAACCTCTGCCTCCTGGGTTCAACCGATTCTCCAGACTCAGCCTCCTGAGTAGCTGGGATTACAGGCATGCACCACCACACCCAGCTAATTTTGTATTTTTAGTAGAGGTGGGGTTTCTCCATGTTGGTCAGGCCGGTCTCCAACTCCTGACCTCAGGTGATCCACCCGCCTCAGCCTCCCAAAGTGCTGGGATGACAGGCATGAGCCACCGTGCCCGGCCTGTCTTTATTATCTTGATGGTTGTTGTTGTTGTTGAGACAGGGTCTCACTCTGTTGCCCAGGCTCGAGTGCAGTGGTACAATCTCTGCTCACTGCAGTTTCTACCTCCCAGGCTCAAGTGATCCTCCCATCTCAGCCTCCTGAGTAGCTGGGATCATAGGTGAACACCATCATGCCTGGCTAATTTTTCTATTTTTTGTGGAGTCATGGTTTTGCTATGTTGCCCAGGCTGGTCTCAAACTCCAGGGCCCAAGGGATCTACCTGCCTTGGCCTCCAAAAGTGCCGGGATCACAGGCATGAGCCGCCTCGCTGGGCCTGTGTCTTTACTTTCTAACACAGCAGGGTGAGTCCAATTTACCTTTGTCCTGTCCCTGGCCCAGTGTCAGGATCAGACATTTCTCCAAGGATCTTGGTTCTTTTTAAGGGAGGGCGGTGATTAGAAACCAAGATCTGGGGGCTAAACATGCTCATGGCTGTTGGGGTGTTGCTGCTCCGAGGCATCTCCATGAGCAGAGGTAGGAAATGTATGTGTGTTTACTTACATAGGTACAAGTACACATATACATGCGTTTATGTGCACACGCATCTCTGTGTATTTCAGCATCTATCTGTGTTACTACCGTGCCTTCACACCAAGGACCCTGTTCAAATCCAGCACTGCAGGGGTAGTTCTTGTTTTCTCCCTTTCTCTGTGTCTGTAACTTCCTTTCCAGCAAGAAACCTGGCTTTCATTGTCCTCAACATATTTATTTATTTGGTTATTCCCCCAAGGGAATTCAGTCTCCCTAGCTCCCGACTCTTGCCCCCATGCCGTGGGGGAAACCCGGCTCTGTGCTTGGGCTCTCAGACCCTGCGCTGGGCTGTCATTTGCACCACTCCATGGGCAGGCACCCTTCTCATCCAGCCAGAACCAACCCACTGCACTGGGCCAGAGCCTCCACCCTCGACCTGCTGCTTCTCCTCACCTGCCAGGCTGCCCACCAGCACCCATGAGTTACCCTCCTTGCCCCTCGGTGGCTTCCTACGCTGGGCCACTGCATCCACCTCACCTCTGAACTGAGGTGTTCAGGTGGGACAGGCAGGGAGAGGAAGAACAGCAAAGTCTTCTCAGGCTCTCCTTGGAAGCGAACAGTGCCTCCACCACTGGTCCAGGTCATAGCCAGCCGCGGCCACCCCCGCAACAAGGAGTGGGAAGATGGACCCTGCCTCTTGGTGAGACAAGCAGCAGAATCCTATGGCAGACTCTTGTCCTCTCCTTGGACAGGAGAGACAGAGAGAAAAGGGGCGGAGGCCATGTGGAGATGGAAGCAGAGATGAGTGATGTGGCCACGAGCTGAGGGATGCCCACAGCTACCAAGACCTGGAACCAGCAGGAAGGAGCCTCCTCTGAGCCTCAGGAGGGAGCACAGCCTTGCCACCCCTGGATTTTAGACTTCCGGCTGTCAGAACTGTGAGAATTGAGTTCTTGTTGAAAGTCCCCTGGTTTGTGATAATTTGCTGTGGCATCCACAGGGTACTAACACATCCTTAAACTTCTCCTCCCTGTTTCCCAGTCTGGGCCCCTCCCACATAGGGCCAGGGCGAGCAGAGGTCCTGTCTGGGACTGGGGCAGCAGAGACCCGGTGGTGAAGTGAGACATTAGGGTCAAGGGAGCTGGGTGAGCCCTTCATGTCGCTGAGCCTCGGTTTTCTCTCCTGTATAATGGACACACTCCTTCTTCTCTCAGCCTGGACAGACGCTGTGAGGCCATGGCTGTGGCAGCCCCTGTGCACCCCCAAGAAGGGGTCAAGTTGCCATCTGTGGAGTTCAGATCCTACCTCCCTGTATTCCAAGGCTTTCCTGGCCCTCGGGCCTTCCTGGGTGGAACTGCAGTCTCCCTGGGAAGGTCTGCACTCTGTCTCTTCCAGGTCCTATTCTGCTCCCCACTCCCTAACCCCACTCCTAGACTTCCAGATGCCCCAGCTGTGTTGTAGGGAAACAGACTGCAAAAGAAAACCAGAGCATGTTTCCCAGAACAACGGGAAGGCCAGAGAAAGGAGCTTCCTTAGACAAACCTGCACGACTGTTTCAATTCCCAGTTAATTCCAGCGTGGAGACAGCTCGGAGCTGCTGGGTGTCGCTGCCTGACTCTAAGTGTGTTGCTTCAGTGGCCTCCTCCGTGCAGCGGTGGGTCGGGGGTTGTCTGGATGCAGCCTGCACGGTGCTGGCAGGATGACATCTCCCCCGTCAGGTACGTAACACATATCTGTTCCGGTCCCTGCCACATAGCCTTTGAGCTTTGGTTTTGGCTCACGAATTGCAGAGGTGGTAATGCCCATGGGCAGCGGGTGGCTGGGATGATGGAATGAAATGAAGAGGGTTTGTGTAGCGGAAGCTGTCAGCAAATCAGCCATTCACGGCAACGGTGTTGACCCCCACTGTGGAGTGGACGCTTCGTACGTTGCTCAAGATTCTACAGGGATTTGTTTAATTCTTATGGCAAACTCCTGGGGGTGGATGCTGTCATGATTCCCACTGTATAGACAAGGAAACTGAGGCACAGAGAGGGCAAGCCGCTTGCCCAAGGCCACACAGCCAGCGAGTGGCCCAGGCTGAATGCAAGCCAGGCAGCCTGGCCACAAAGCTCGTGCTCAGGACCCACCGTGCTTGTCACGGAGATGTGCAGAGGGAGGACTGCAGAGTGGGGTTTCGCACAGCTGCCCCCGGCCACAGGCACCCAAGACCCCCCGTAACGCAGCACCTACTTGTCCTCTCAAAGGCAGCGGTCAGACCTTCCAGCAGAAAGAGCATCAAGCACCTCAGCCGCCACACCTCCCACCGGCTTTCCCCTCCTGGCATCTCTGAGAGCCCCGCCTTGCCAGGACTTGTGGGCTGGTGCAAGCTTTGGAGACAGGTAGAGGGGATTTGCCACTGGGTCACTGTCCGGAACCCTGGGGACCACAGAGGCCAAGGAAGCAAGGCTCAGGTGGTCTGGAGGTCAGGCCCCTCACAGCTGCAGCCCCCCAACACAGCTTTGTGCTCTGACCCACCCTCTGTGGTCTCCAGCCCGGCCCCTCCCCAGGGCACCCGGAGTGCCGGGGATGCTGTCACCAGAGGTAGAGCCCTCAGGTGCGGCGGGGACGAGAGACAGCCTGGCCCTCTGCCCACGCTTCCAGGACCTTCCAGGATCCTGCAGCTCCTCAGACAGGTGGGCCCATCTTGCGCCAATCTGTGCCTGGCCGCCCTCGGGGCCCACCTGCGTCTTTGAAGGCCTCTATCCTCGGGCGGGTCACGGCCCAGGCCGACGCTCTCTGAAGCACCTGGGGTTCTGCGGTGTGTCTCTGGTGGGCTGCGTTTGTTCTTTGATGCTGAGAGGAGTTTGGGGTGAGGGGCCGGGGCCACCTGATGCACGGTGGACACCTGAGGGCTGACTGCTAATCATTCCCACATCCCTGCATTCCAAGTCAGAGAGTCCAAAAGCCCAGCCCACAGGGGTTCGAAAGGAACCTGCTAGAACTGGACAGGTCCACACTTGGCAGCAGTCTCTCCCCTCACCCTGGACAGATGCCGGCCAGGCACCCTCAGGCCCCGTGCCTCTGCTCCCGGCCATGGTCATGCGGATTCGCAGCAGCCTCCATCCCGTGCATCCCCCCAAATGTGCAACACACCCGCTTTCTTCTCTCCCATCCCCCTTCCTTCTTGCCTCCCTCCCTCCCTTCCTCTCTTCCTTCCTTCCTTCCTGTTTTGCTTTAAATACTGTATCTGTATCAAAGGATTGCATGTGCCTGGTTCAATATTGGTATTAAGGCTCATAACGAAACACAGGCACGTGGCCCTGCCCCTGCCCCGCACATCTGTGGTGGGCTTCCCGCTGGAATATTCCCCCTCATGGCTCTTCTCACCTTAGTCCTACAATCCTTCCGACTTCTGCTCAGGGGTCACTGCCTCCAGGAAGCCTTCCTGCACCCTTCTCCTAGCCCCGAGAGCACTTGCCCCGATGCAGCTTCATATCCCAATGGCTGGGGAGGGGTGAGGGCACAGAGCCTGGTGATGGCTGGGCCGTCTGGATAACCCAGGGCCATGTCCTCACCTCATGTCCGAATTCGCTTCGCAAAGTTCCTTTTGCCACGGGAGGTACGAGGTTCCAGGGATTAGGACATGGACGTCATTACAGGGAGGGCTTTATTCAGCTACATGAATAGACAAGGGGTTGAGCGAATGAGGGATGAAAGGCGACATTTGGGGCCTGTTTTCTCCCTCCTTCCCATCTTCCCATTCTGGAGCCTGGCTTTGTGACGGGGGCTGCCGAGGAACCCTCCCCGCGGACAGGGCTGGGAGACAGACAGAGAGCATCTTCCAGCTACGGCCTCCCCAGGCTTAAATTTCCAACCGGTAGATGACCTGCAGTCAGATGTCTTGAGGCTACTGGATTCTCCCCAGGGTGGCAGGCCTGGCCCTCGGGCCATGAAGGTGGGGTTGTGTCCAGCCCTGCCCTGCCTTCCCCCTTGTGTCCAGGGAACAGCCAAGCCAAGGGAGGCCAGGGGCACAGGGTGGACTCACCCCAGGTGTTGGTCCCGTGCCTCGGTGCTCCTGAGAAGCCCAGCAGAGCTGCGGATTGTGGCATCTTCACGCACTTACGGGTGAGGAACGGAGCCGCTGGTCCCAGCCCCGCCGGGCTGCCAGGAGGGCAGCTGCTTCATGTGGTCCCCAGACCTGGGCTGGAGGGCAGGCTGCACCATTTGGGTGGAAGGCAAGGAACCAGCCAGTGCTCTGTGATCTGTGCTAGGATTCTGGGACCCAAAACAGCAGCCTCTGGTTTGCAGCCAAGCCTGCAGGAGCGCCAGCCACTGGACCCGCCTCCTAACCCGGGCTGCACCTTGCCAGCTCATGCTCTGAGCTGCACTTCACACCAGAGGATGATAAGAACAGAGAGGCAAGGGGAGCTGCCTGGGGTGACCAGGCTGGGTGGCAGTATGGCTGGGATTAGCACCCACGCCTGTTCTCCTCATGCCCATGTTCCTTCATCATGCCAGGGACGTCTCCCTTCTTCTTCCTCAGAGATCCCCAGTTCAGGCTGTGTCCCGCCCCCAGCGTGTTCCTGCAGGAGGGGGGCTCCTGCCTGAGATCCCTTCCGGTGGCAGAAATGTAACCGCCAGTCCCTCCACCCAGGGAGCAGGGTGCCCATGTACCCCAGTTTTTCCTCCTGGGAAGGGGGCCAGACCCCTGCCTGATGCCTGGAAGACCTTGTCACCTGGGTGGGACCGACACGGACGGGGCAGTGACAGTTACTGTGTGCCGCTGTGCTGCAGAAAGTGTGAGTGTCCATGCCCTGCCGATGAAAACCATCGGATTTATTCAGCAAAGTGAAGCTGTCGAGGTCGGGCAGGTGGCTGTGGACAGAGGTGAGGACCGAGGCTGTACCCTCCCGAGAAACCGCCGCAGTGAGGAGAGGAGCCCGGCCCCGGGGAGGCTGCCAGCCGCTCTGGACCAGGCCCTGTGCTGGGCGGGGGCCTGGACCCGGCTCCTGCCGACCTGCTGTCCCACATGGTGGAGCACTTAGCCAACTCGGGTTCTTCTAGAAGACTTGACGGATGGGCTGGGACGCCCCACTCCCCACAGAGCTGCTCAGGCCGCGATGCTCCACGTGCCAGAGCTCCTCGGTAGACGCTCCGACACCTGGGCGCCACAGACAGACGGACAGGATGAGGCAAGAGGCTTCACACAGCAGGTAGCGCTCCAGCGTGCCCTCTGCACTCTAATTTGCCCAGACAGTTTGGAGTGTTTCAGTGACTCAGGTGAGGAATCACAGACCCGCGGCTTCAGTTCACATCAAAGGGGCTCTATTGTCAGCTTTAAATTTATCTCTTAAAGAGCCAAGAAAAAAGTCAGATAAAATGGCAAGAATGCGCAAGAAAGGCAAGAAAAGGTGATCAAGGAAGCTGAAAGAAGCCATTCCCGCTCAGAGAAGGGAACGGTCACGGAAAGAACGCACTCAGATGGCACTTGGAGCGGCCGTTCTTCAGTGGACGGTTTTGTTTTGTTTTGTTTCTGTTTTTGTTTTTTTTGAGATGGAGTTTCACTCGTCACCCAGGCTGGAGTGCGGTGGTGTGATCTTGGCTCACTGCAACCTCTGCCTCCTGGGTCCAAGCGATTCTCCTGCCTCAGCCTCCCGAGTAGCTGGGATTATAGGCACACACCGCCACGCCCGGCTAATTTTTGTATTTTTAGTAGAGATGGGGTTTCACTATGTTGGCCAGGCTGGTCTTGAACTCCCGACCTCAGGTGATCTGCCCATCTTGGCCTCCCAAAGTGCTGGGATGACAGGCGTGAGCCACCGCTCTGGGCCCAGGGGACAGGTTTTGAATAGAAGCAAAGAACAGCTCTTGGCTTATGGAGGGAAGCCATTAGTAGGCAGGATGAACCGGGTGAATACACTGGAAAACACAGAACAGCTTTCGTGCCATTATTAGTAATGAGTTGTGAAGTCAAAACGAAAAGAAAACAGCTTTAAAAAACCATCAGGAGTCAAAAACAGCTTTCAGCCTCACCGTAAGGGAAGCTGGAACTAATAATATCTTTCCAGTGTTTACTTAGAGAATGATGTCACGGCACCGTCTCGTGGGGGCAGACAGAGGCACACAGGGCAGAGCCCTGAGAAATCCACTTTACCACTTGCCAGGCAGGTAAGAAGTAGCACGTCGCATTTTCAATATGCACACTGTTTGTTAATTTTTATAAATGTGTGACATTTTGTGATTCTTTCTACTTGTAAGTAAATGTTCACCTTTGTTCTCAATTCTGCACTCATAATTTTGCATTGTTTTCTTAAGGAGTGACCCGAATGATATCTGAGTCGGTCTGCATGATGCCCCACCAGCCTCTGTCTGCACTCTGGGTGTTGGTGTTGGTGGGGGCAGAATGGAAAGGACCCCTAGGAAGCATGGCCGAGATGCCCACGCGAGGGGAGCGGAATGGAAAGGACCCCTGGGAAGCGTGGCTGAGATGCCCACGCGAGGCATCCACTGCCTTCCATGATGGTTGCTTTCCTCACGCTTGTGATACGGCCCCAGGCAACGGGACCTGACTGCTGCTCATGCCCTTGGCGTCGACTTCTGCCGCGGCCTGGCCGGGAGTGCTCTGCTGCCTGGGACCGTCTGGCTCACTCCAAGGGACTCGGCCAACAACACTCCTATCTTAGTGCCTTGTAGAGACAAGAAAAGGGGCACGGAAAGGAGAAACGGCCCTTGTGGGCCACACAGCAGGGTGGGCCCCGGGCTGTGCATGGTGATTCCCTGCCCGAGAGTGGGCAGCCTGCCAGCACAGGCAGTGGCAGGGGTGGGGGGGCGGGGGTGCTGCATGGAGACCAGGTCTCTGAACTCTTCCGTGCTGGCTGTAAGCTGGCTGTGCCACGCTCATCCCTTCACCCTTCTCTTCTCCAGAGCTTACCGGGCACCTGCTGCGGCCGTGTTGGGACTCGGCATTGGGGAGACAGCCCCTCCCTGCAGGGGGCTTGTCATCTGAAAAATGGTTCCCCTAAAGACATGCCCAGCAGAATCCCTGGAACTTGCAAATCCTGCCTGGTGTGGAGAGAGAATGTTTGCGATTAAGTGAAGGTTGTTGAGATGGGGAGATTATCCGGGATTATCCAGAAGCACCCAAAAATGCAATCTCCAGTGTCCCTGTGAGAGGGAGACAGAGGAAGAGGGACTCCTACAGGAGAGGAGGCCGTGTGGCCACAGAGGCAGAGATGAGTGATTTTCCACTGGAGCCTCCGGAGGGGGCGCGGCCCAGAGGTTTCAGCCCAGTGATGCCTACGTCAGACCTCGGGCTCGAGAACGGTGGGAGGACACACTTCTGTTGTTTGAAGCCATCCAGGAATAGGTCTGTCACAGCATTCACGGGAAACCAATACATCCCTAGTTGCCTGGGCTCCCAGTCGGGGAGGGAGCCTATTGCCTGCTGTTCCTCAAACACATCCCAGGCCTCCTGCTGCGGGGCCTTGGCATCAGCTGTGCCCTCTGCCCAAGACTCTTGGCTCAGCCCCCACAGCGGGCTCCACCTCTCGCTTAGGCCTTTGTCCCGACGTCCCCCTACCTTGATCACCCTCCACACCCCCCCATCTTCTCCTTAGCACTTTTCTCCTGCCTCTGTCCCACACCGCCTGCTTGTTCCTCACGGTGGCCCGCTGTGACAGGGAGAAAGGAGAAAGGAAGCTGCTGCCAGATGCCTGGGAACCCCGGCTGGGCATCGGTTCCTCCAGTCCAGCCAGGACGGGGCATGGCCAGGCCTTGCATTTCGGGAGCTGCATCACCGAGTCAGGGTGTCAGGGTGTCAGGGTCTGAGCCGGCACGTGTCGCCAGGAGAAAAGTGTCTAAGGGCCACTAGAGCAGCGTGTGCCGGCCTTACACCCCCTGGAAGTGAGCGTGACTGTGCCCTCTCTCCTAGCATCTGCGTGCTGGCCAGCTGCCTGGCCTCTCCAAAAGCCTGGTCCCTGGTCTACAATGGAGACGTCATTCCCCTTGCTAGGCTCCTGTGGAGGCCCTGCAGGGAGTTGGCACATGGAAGCTTCCAGTAGCTGGCAGAATCGTCTTGCGTAAGGATCCATGTTCACCCACAGGTGCCCGTGGGCAGCTGAGCTGGGCGGCTGCAGCCACATGCGCTCCCACTTGGGCCCCTGGGGACCATCTGTTCCCCATTATATCTGGGGAGCTGACAGGACGTATGGATGAGCCTCATGATCTCACCACCGCTGGGAGGGTGGAGTCCGGCAACCAATCAGCAGCCCTGGCCCATCCGCCCCGTGGCACTGGGAGGAACAGAGCGGGCGGGAGCGCAGTCAGGCTTTGCGGTCCAGACAGACTGAAACAATCATCATTCCCGGGATTTTTACACCTGGCCTCCCACAGACCTTGGCATCCCACTGCTGGCTGGGCTGGCCTGGCCACAGGCCTGGCGGGGGAGGCCATGTGGGCATCTCTGGCCTCTGAGTTCCTGCCCAGTCTCTCTGACTGGGGAGACAGAAGGCAGGAGTGGACAGGGTGCTGGGCATCCCAACAGGGCCTTTGCCCAGTGCTCCCAGGAACGGAGCTTTCTCTTCCATGAAATAGGAGAAGTGATGCCTGCCAGGCTGGGGTACGTGGCTGTGAACCTCCGGTGGGGGAATGAAGGGAGCAGTGTGGTCACAGGGCTGAGCTTCCCCGAGGGGGCTCAGAGCAACAGACCCCCAGCAGCTGGCCCCCTCAGCCTTGTACCATTTGGCTGTGACTTTACATGGTCCCAAATCCAACTTTGCTCCCATTGGTGCTTTACACAAATTCCTAGTTGTTGGCTGATCAGACTGAACTTACACGCCTCTAGGGATGGGGTGCTCACTACCTCCTGAGGACTCTCTTCCACACTTGCACGGCTCTGACTGTTGTCTGCCTTCCCAGGACATCCATGCACCAGTCCTGGCTGTGTCCAGAGAGCCACAGGTGATGTCCTGGGGCCCCCATCCCCACATGGCCGCTCTTCAGCTATGTGCAGGCAGCAGCCTGGCCCCCAGACCTTCTTTCTCCCATCCCTCTGGTGATGGGCATTTGGGCCTCTTCACTATCACTTCCCTCTGGCTGTGCTCTGGTCCCACAGAAGATGTTGCTGGAAATGGCAGAACACGGGGTCCAGCACTTCCCGTGGTGCTAGTGCAAAGGTGCAGCGAGTCCCCACCCTCCCCCACCCTGGCCCCCCCCCCTCCCCCATGCCAGCCCCCACCGTCCCCCACGCCGGCCCCCACCCTCCCCCATGCCGGTCCTCCACCCTCCCCCATGCCGGTCCTCCACCCTCCCCCACGCCGGTCCTCCACCCTTCCCCACGCAGGTCCTCCACCCTCCCCCACGCAGGTCCTCCACCCTCCCCCATGCCAGCCCCCACCCTCCCCCACACTGCTGTTGTCCAGTGTGCCAGAACCCTCTGGCTCCCAGAACGAACCACGTGGGAGCCGAGCCTCTTTGCACCTCATATCTTCATTCATTCATTCATACCTTCATTCATTCATTCATGCAACAAATGTTGTTCAGAGTCCTACTACAGGCCAGGCACAGCCTGTCCTGGGTGTCATTCTCGACATGACAAAATGCCGTGGGGAGACCCGGCTGGAATTGCATTCTTGGTGGCGTGTTGTCATCTCAGCTGAGTGGGCGGGCCTGAGCAGGAAACGCCATGAAAATCATTTTTCTATTTCTGAGCATACTTGTCAGCTTAATGGGAATTTTAAGTGGTTTGCTGAACTTGCACTGTGTGAAGAACAGAACTTAAAAAGCCACATGTTCACTCTACATCGATTCTTTATCTCTCTCTTCTGTGTTTTCCCCCCAAAAGAAATCCATTGCTCACCGCACCGTTTACCAAGCTTCCCGCTAAGACCCTTTCCCCTCACGCGCTGGTGCGTCTTGGGGGCCCTCCCTACCGCTGGCAGTAGTCGCCAGGAAGACCCACGGGCTTTGCTTGGACAGCTTCAGGTCCCGGAGTGCCCCAAGGATGCCGGGCGTGTGTGGACCTGTCGCTTACAGGCGGCACTGCTTCCCCCTATAATGCATACATTGAAGCCCTAATCCCCAGGACCTTAGAATGTGACCTGACTTGGAAGTAGGGTCATTGCAGGGGTAATTAGTTCAGATGAGGTCCATCAGAGTCAGGCAGGCCCTTAATCCAACATGACCGGTGTCCCCATAAAAGGTGGATGTTTGGACCCAGCCATGTCCACAGAGAGAACGTGGTGGGAAGGTTACAGTCACGCTCCCCCAAGCCAAGGGACCACCAGGGCTGAGAGAGAGGCCTGGAACAGACCATGCCCTTGTGCCTGCAGGGGAGCCTGGCTCTGCCAACACCTCGATTTCAGACTTCCAGCCTTCAGGGCGAGGGAGAGCACGTGTCTGCTGCTCAACACCCCCGCCTGTGGGGCTGGGCATGGCAGCCCTGGGAATCCACCATAGCCACTCATAAAACAAACAAATGCCTGGAAAATGGAGCTGTCTGATGAAGGTTTACATTCCAGAGCGTCCACCAGGTAGACTATTATGGGGTGCCTCAATGGCGATTACCGACGATCACCTTAGAACCCATGAAGGCATGTGCTGCATGATGGGGGAAAGGCGTGAAGGCTGGCAGGTGCGCTGTGGACACAGGGCCCCAGCCTAACCCGGAGACTCCTTAGACAACGGGAATGAAACATGCTAAAGATCATCTCACAGAAAACTAGCCCCAGATGTGGCTCTCCACCCACTGCTTCTTTAGGAAGGCAGATTCCCCCTGGGGCAGGCCCCAGCCTCGTCCCCAGGACTGACGGGAACCGCGGGGTGTGGGACAGGGGCAGCCTCAGGGCGGCTCCTGGTTCCACCTAGCACAAGCTCACCAGACCCTAACCTCGTTTGCTTTTAGGCTTCCCAAGTGCCAGGGTCCTAGACCCCTCGTCCGTGCCCCGGCCACCGCCTGTCGAGGCCTCCGAGGTCAGCTTCAAGGTGTGTGTGTGGATGACCGGGCCCCCAGCGGTTGACCGGACCCCCAGTGGGCTCCAGAGCCATTCTGCCTTCTTCACCCTCACCCTCGTTTATGTTCCAAGAGTCCTGGGTTTCCTCAGGTGCAGCTTCAGGGGGCTCTGCCATGGGAGGCCGGTGTGCCGTGGGCTGTGGGCCATGGGAGGCCAGTGTGCTGTGGGAGGCTGTGTGCCATGTGCCATGGGCCTCCCCTGAGAGCAGCTGTTGTTTGTAACAAAATCGCCCTGTGTTGACGTCTTCGGCACAGCTCACGCTCACCTGCAGCTTCATGGGAAGCAGGCATCGCCTCGGTGACGCCTCACCGGGTCCAGGTTCGGGAGCCCCAGAGTCCTGAGAAGCAGAATCGTCAGTGCCCATGCATCCAGGGGTAGGCAAGGGCCCAAATCTCTGCCCGGCCACTTCCTGGCTCTGTGACCTCAGGAAAGGCACCCAGTGCTCTGGGCCTCAGCTTCCTGCACCTGTAACACGAGGACGATCATGCCCGCCTTACCAAGCATAGGATTGGGTGAGATTATGTGAGGGGTGGTCCAGTGCCAGGGTTCCAGGCAGTCACCACCACCACAGGCAAAGCCATGGTGCCCTCCTTGCTGCCCCGGAGGGTGTCAGGGGCCAGAGGATGGGCTGCAGCAGCGCCAGCTCAGGGGCTGGACAGAGACAAGGCGGGCTGGGGGCTACTGTTGCTGCCATACAGAGTCTTCCTCTGTCTGCTCGCAGAATCTCATGGCCGTTGCTGTTACAGGACACTGACTCGAGAGACGAGAGAGACACCAGAACGACACCCACAATTGCTCCTTCCATCTGTTCAGAGAACTTGGGGGTGCCTGCTGAGTGCTGGGCCCTAGTGGGGTGCTGGAGACGCTGTGACGAGGACTCCCCCCAGGAGGGGCAGGGATGCAGCCGTGGGCAGAAGTCATCCCAAGGAGGCAGGTGGTCACCCCTACACAGCCTGGGGCTGGCAGAGGAGGGGAGACCAGGGTCCACGGGGAAGGAAGTTGAAGGCTCAGCAGGCTTCGTGACCTTGCCTGGTGAGTGGGATTTGGACACCCAGGACGGGAAGGTATGGAGGGTGGGGGACGGGAGAAGGAGGACTAGGCTGGGAAGCAGTGAGCAGAACCACTGGGTGCACAGAGCCAGCTGTCGTGTGCACACCTGGTGCTATCAGGGAACCGTCGGGTGCACAGAGCCAGCTGTCAGGTGCCCACCTGGCGCTACCAGGGTCCCCACTTGGATTATGTCTGGTGGGTGGACTCTGGAGATGGCAGCTGCTGCTGTCTACAGCGCCCTGTGTCCTAAGACCTGCAGCTAGCCGACAAGGCTCCGGTGATGTCCTAGAGTGTCTCAGGACAGAGGGGGCCTGTGGAGCTCACTCCCTCCCCTCCAGCCGAGGCCTCGCCATGCCAATCTTCATGCCACCTTGCTGTTTCTTGGGCAACACCTGTGTCTCTGCCCAAGCTGTGACCAGGTGCAGGCCCCCGGCTATCGGCGTGGGAAGAGCAGCTTCTGGGGGGTCTTCTTAGGACCTGGAGAGCTGTGGCTGTGTGGGAGGGTGCAGGGAGCAAGTGTCCTCTTAGGGTCAGGAGCCCCCTCTGACCCTGGTCACTGTCCAGTCATCAAGTGGGTTGCCTGGGGTGGTGAGCAGCCTGTCCTTGAAGGTGTGAGCCGGGACCGTGTGCTCGGCTCAGCCAGACAAGTTTTCTCAAGCCAGAACTGCCCTGAGCGCTCGTCCAAGCGGCCCCCACCCCCTGTGCCAGCCTCGCTGTGCTGTGCAGTTCCAGTTCCATCACAGCAGTTCTTCCTCTGGATGGGGACAGACAGCCCAGCCCTGAATTATTCATGCTGACTCTTGCAGTCTCCGAGCTTGACACCCCATCAAGGAAATGCGTGGTAAATGCAGTGATTTATGCAGGTACTTAAGGCCACAGTGGCTCTGCCCAACCGCCTGGAGGTGATCCAGGCCCCATCTCTCCCCATGCAGGCTTCCTGGAGGTTCCTGGAGGTCTGGCAGTGCAGGTGGGCAGGACCCTTCCAGTTGGGTACCAGGAAGGGATGTGGCCTCTGCGGGGTGCCCCAAAGGGATCCCTCACCTGGAGTGCACTCAGAGCCCCCCTCCCCTGCTATCTGGGCCTGGGCTGAGCTCAAGGGTCCCAAGCAGAGGGAAGGCCAAAGGGGAACACTGCAGAGGGATGCTGGGAAACCCTCTTGCCAGCTCCTGTTCACTGCACTTCACAGTGACTGAGCCTGGGAAACAGCTCAGCTCACTGCAGTTGGGCAGAGAGGGAAACTGAGTCATGGGGTCATTTACCCAGGCCACATGATCAGTCTTTCCCCCATGATCTCTAGGATCTAGGCTAGTGGGGATCATATCTATATCTGGGCATCTCTCTGCCCAGGTTGAGCAATATGGACAAATCATTCATTCATTCATTCATTCATTCATTCATCTGTTCCCAGCTCAGCCACCTACTGGCCTGAGGCCTTGGGTTAGGGACTCAGCTCCCACATGCCTGGTTTCATATGCAGAATGGAGACGACAGCTCCTGCCTCACATCTGTGGTGGGAACGACATGAGTTAGTGCAGGTAAAGGGTTCAGAACAATGAGGTGCACAGAGCCAGCTGTTGGGTTCACACCTGGCACTATCAGGGTCCCCACTCGGATTATGCCTGGTGGCTGGACTCTGGAGATGGCAGCTGCCGCTGTCTACAAGGCCCTGTGTCCTAAGATGTACAGCTCGCTGACAAGGCTGCGGCAATGCCCCAGAGCTTCTCAGGACAGTGGGGACCTGTGGAACATCAGGCAGTACGCACTGGTCGGTACTTTTAGCAGGGCCTTTGGATGGAGCGAGAGGCCTCCCTGCCACACTCCAGCTCCTGACCCTTGTGCCTCAGGCCCAGACCCAGTCCTACCGACGAACATTCACAGAGTATTGCTGTGTGCAGGCCCCCAGGCTCAGGGCTGGGCTAAGCCACTGCAAGAAAGCCATCAGCAGCCCCTCCGCTGGACGCTCTTCTGGGATCCCTTGAATGGGGAGGGACCAGGACTGCTCCAGCCACAGCCTGGGAGAGCCACAGGGCAGGTGCCAGGCGGACTGAGGCTGAATGGAGAGAGAGAGAGAGAGAGAGAGAGAGAGAGAGAGAGAGAGAGAGAGAGAGAGACAGAGAGAAACCCCCCAGGCAGGCCGACCTGGGGATAGCTGAGCAGGGGCACAGAAAGGCAGGGACAGATGAGGAGGAAGGCAGAGACTGTGCCCTCCCTCAGCTCCTCAGCGGCGTGGGTTCCTCTGGCACTGACCTGACCCGGGAGGAGATGACGTCTGCCCCAGGAGGGCCCCCTGCTCAGATGAGGTGCCCTGTGGCAGGGAAGCCCAGGCGGCTGTGCAGAAGAAGGCTGGGAGCCCAGCCCACCCATCCGCAGTGCCCAGAGAAGCAGGCAGGGCCTGTCTGTGGCACAATGGTGCCACCCAGTGGCCATACCCCCAAATCGCACCTGTGCCAGGACCAAAGCTGGGCAGGCAACCCGCGAGAGGTGGAGGTACCCTGCGACCTGAATATTTAGTAAATACAAACTCCACGGGACACTCAGTTAAAGGAAGATTTCAGACGAACGTTGAGTAATTTCTTTAGAATGTGTCCTAAATATTGCACCGGACAAACTCACACTAAACAGTGTTTGTTTATCTGAAATTCATCTTTACCTGGGCTTCCTGTATTTTATCTGTACTTATTTACCTTAGCCTCAAGTGACTTTTAGGACAACAAAGGTTTACTTGGGGTAAACACCATTGGGCTGTTGGGCCTTGGGGTATAAAGGGGCGGTTCTGCTGCCTCCTGCTTATTTCCTGGGGCTTAGAGCAAACTGAAATAGACAGGGGCGCTTCCTTCGGGGCAGGCACCCTGCTAAGCAGTCAGGTATTTAATCCTCACGCACAACCCATGTGGGTAACACCACTGTGTCTTCACTTTACAGATGGGGAAACTGAGGCTCAGAGAAGCAAATCGACTTGCTCCTAACTAGAAGGTGACCTGCTGTGCACTGAATGTTTGTGGCCCCCCAGTTCCTTCCTTCCTTCTTTCCTTCCTTCATTCCTTTATTCTTTCTTTTTCTTTCTTTCTTTCCTTCCTTCCTTCCTTCCTTCCTTCCTTCCTTCCTTCCTTCCTTCCTTCCTTCCTTTCTTTCTTTCTTTCTTTCTTTCTTTCTTTCTTTCTTTCTTTCTTCTTTCTTTCTTTCCTTCCGTCCCTTCCTTTCTCATTCTTCTTTTTCTTTCTTTCTCTTTCTTTCTTTCTTGCTTGCTTGCTTGCTTTCTTTCTTCTTTCTTTCCCTCCCTCCCTTCCTTCCTTTCTCTTTCTTCTCTTTCTTTCTTTCTTTCTTTCTTTCTTTCTTTCTTCTTTCTTTCTTTCCTTCTTTCTTTTTCTTTCTTCCTTCTTTCTTTCTTCTTTCTTTCTTTCTTTCTTTCTTTCTTTCTTTCTTTCTTTCTTTCTTTCTTTCTTTCTTTCTTTCCCTCTCTCTCTCTTTCATTCTTTCTTTCTCTCTCTTTCTTTCGAGATGGAGTCTTGCTCTGTCACCCAGGCAGATTGTGCAGTGGTGCAATCTCCACTCACTGCAACCTCCGCCTCCTGGATTCAAGTGATTCTCCCGTCTCAGCCTCCTGAGTAGCTGAGATTACAGGCACACAGCACCACATCCGGCTAATTTTTGTATTTTTAATAGAGACGGGGTTTTGCCATGTTGGTCAGGCTGGTCTCAAACGCCTGATCTCAAGTGATACCCCCGCCTCAGCCTCCCAAAGTGCTGGGACTATAGGTGTGAGCCACCACACCCGGCCTGCTGCCCACCCCCCATTTCTATGTTGAAGCCCTGATCCCCAGTGTTAGGAGGGGACTGCAGGAAGTGATTATCTCATCCCACGGAAGGCCTCATAGAAGGATCGGTGCCTTTATAAGAAGAGACCAGAGTGTGTGCTCTCTCCCTGGCCTCCCACCACGTGGGGACACAGCATGGACCAAGCAAGACAGCAGAGAGCCTCATCAGACACCACTGTGTGAGCACCTTGACCTGGGCCTTCCAGCCTCCGGAGCTGTGAGGATGTCCACGTCTGTTGCTTCAGCCCCACAGTCTGTGTTACTTTTATTACAGCAGCTCGAACACACAAAGACACTCTCTAAGGGCTCCGCTTCGAGACACTGCCCCTCCCCTGCACAGACACCATTGGGGGTGACTGGTACATTGTACCGATCGGGAGCCTGGGAGAGTGGGATGATACCACGGACAGTGCCAGAGCTGAGACTGGCACCAACATCAGATGGGCCCTGCCTGAGGTTGGCAGAGAACTCTGCCTGTCTCTTTCAGGGGAGAAGAAGCCATGGAGGAGAAGTGGGGGGCATGCAGCTCCTGGGCCACCGAGCCCGGGCCGGGCCACTGCACTTCCCAGCAATGCTGTTCCCAGGAGGGCGTGCTGTGAAGTCCCCCAAAGAGCAGAGAGCGGCTGCAGCTGGCCTGGCTGCAGAGAGCCCACGGCCATCACAAGGGCAGGTGCAGCCCAGG
Source organism: Homo sapiens (assembly GCF_000001405.40). Lineage (NCBI taxonomy): Eukaryota > Metazoa > Chordata > Mammalia > Primates > Hominidae > Homo > Homo sapiens. Next base: position 173,036 of record NW_021159993.1, read on the forward strand.
GCCGAGTCCCAGCTCCAGGCTGGCTCCAAGGATGTGGGGACAGGCCATCTGGGGCTTGGGCTCCCTTGTCCTTCCCACCGTTCCAAGAGGGCTAGGTGAACACCCACTGTTCCAGGTGCCAGGGCTATGGAAGGGTCCAGGCAGGCACAGCTCCAGCCCCGTGAGCCAGCCTTCAGACCATGGGGACTGGGGACAGATGATTCTGTGGTTCTCGCAAGTTGGTTCTGGGGATTCTTAGGGGAAGGGGCTCCAGCTCTCTGTGGGGGTCAGAGGAGACCTTGGGTTGAAGCACACAGGAAGGCGGGAGTCTGCCGGGCTGGGGAGGAGAGCTCTGGGACAAACAGCACAGTGAGCACCAAGATCCAGGGGTAGAAGTGAGCTTGGGTATTCTAGGAACAGCGAGGTGGCCCGGGCAGCTGAGTGGCGTCGGGGAGGGGACACACCATGGAGAGATGAGTCAGAGGGGTCCAGACAGATGTCACCAGCAAGACCACCAGGAGCCGCAGGTGGGGAGCTGTGCAACCTCATGTATTTATGGGCAGGGAGACACCGTGACGTGGCTCCTGTAGGCGTCCAGGCCTGAGGGGTGGGGCCCGGGCCTGAGTGGGAGGGCTGGAGGGGGAGGATGCCCCAGATTTGGGGTTTGTGCTGAACATGGTGCCATCAGGATTTTCTGAGGGATTGATGTGGGGCACAAGAGAAACTGAGCCACAAGGACAATTGGAAAGCTCTGGACGGGGGAGATGCAGAAGACCGAGTGGGCTTCTATGCGTACTGAGTGGGACACCCCAGTGAAGGTGGCAGGGATCCCTTGGACACGTGATTGGGTGCACGCTCCAGTTGCATAGGCCGGAGGTCTGGGCTGGAGGCATGAACTTGGGAGTCGGCAGCCTGGGAGTGAGCCTGGGGACCTCCCCGGGGGAGGTCCTGCTCACTGCAGAGGCCCCGGCCCCAACTGCAGTCACAAGTACCTGCAAGTGTCACCACCTCACTGAGGCCTGGAGAGAGTTGTCCTGGCAGCCAAGGCAGACCTGTTGAGCCAAGTGATGTCCACCACCCCTGACAGCATCCTGCTCGCTGGTGACTCCCAGGAGAGTAAAGGGAAAGGCAAAGGGAAATCAGACTTTAAATGGGTGGGCCCCCTTCTCTCTCAGTATAGATGGGAAAATTGAGCCCCAGGAGGCTAAGGGAGATGCCTGAAGGACAGAGTGTTCTTTCCGGTTCTCTAGAACCGGAAAGAAAGTGTAATAGCTTCCCTGGCTGCCCTAACAAACCACCACAAACTTAGTGGCATAAAACAACACAGATGTGTTTTCTCACATACTGGAGGTCAGAACTCCAACAAGAGTCTCACTGTGTTAAAGTCAAGCTGTCAGCAGGCCCATATCCCTTCCGGAGGCTCCTGAGCAGAGAAGCTGTTTCCCTGCCTTGTCCAGCTCCCAGAGGCCACCTGCCTTCCTTGGCTCATGGTCCTTCATCCATCCTCAAAGTCAGCACCAGTGGGTTGAGTCCTCACATCACATCACTCTGGCCTCTGTTCCTGCATCCCTCTTTTACAGTGAAGGACCCTGTGATGACACTGGGCCACCTGCAAGTACAGAATAACCTCCCAATGGTAAGAATGGCTGATTCTCAGCCTGAATTCCACTGCAGCCTGAATTCCCCTTTGCCTTGCAGCCCAAGCTGTTCACAGCTTCAGGATCAGGACTCCTGCTCTCTGGGGACCCTTATTCTGCTGACCACAATCTCCAAGCTCAGACCAAGTCAGGGCCTTTCACCAGCTGCACCCTTCACCTGGAGTGCTCTTTCCCATGAACTTCCCCAGGCTTTCTTCCCCCATGCAAATCTCCGTGCTCAGACATCACCTTCTCCAAAAGGCCTCTGGCTAGGTCACCCCATCCCTGTTGTCCTCTCCCTTGCCTGGTTTTCCTCTTAGCACTGATCACTGCCTGGAATTGGGAAATGCTTGCATATTACAGGTGACATCATTAAGGTAGTGGAACATAGGTAACCTGCTCATATCCCCCCCAAAATAATTCTGTACCCAACCACAGTCAAAAGCTTCTCTTTGAGAACCTCAGGATTCAAGTAGGAGTTTGTGAAACCCCAGTGGAGCCCAAGACTGGGAGGGTTGTTTTGAGAGTGCAGACCCTCACCTAGGTGGCTGATCTGCCAAGCCTGCTCCCAGGTTCAAGCTCACAAATGGCCCAGTCTTCCAACGTGTTTAGCTACAGGTCCATTTGGCCTTGAGCCTACAACCAAAACCATAGGCCAAGGGCTCCAGGTGGAATCACACACATTAGTGCCTTGGCAGAAAGGCTTGTCTGCTCACTGACATCTGTTTTGGCAGTGAACCTGAATGTTGCCCTGTGGCTCAGATCCAGCCCCCTTCAGCTGAGGTCCCAGCTCAGGGATGCTTATACAAGGACCCAGAGGGGACTCACCCATATCTTGTAGCCTAGGAGTATGAACCTCCCTGATGGGGTCACCAACCTCCAACCCACAGTGGATCCTGAACGTGGCCAGTCTCAGCTTCAGCTCCTCTTGCTGCAGTCAGGCACCCATTCCACCTGTGCAGAGACCTGCTGGGAGGCATGCCAATCTGGGCCACCAGGAAAGTCTTCTGGATTCAGGTTCCTGGTCAGTATTCCCAGGTAGCCTCAGTACTTTCCTTGGCCTTCCCCAAGTCAATCTGGGCTGAAAAACCATGTCAACCCCAATTCCTTCACAAAACTTGGGGCAAGCCTGGGCTTAGCGCATCCTCCAGCTGAGATGGCTGCAGTGGTCATAACACTCAGGGGAATCAACAGTCAGTCTGCTTAGAATCCCTGGAAGGCCCTCTGAAGAAGAATAGGCACAGACAAAGCCAGACTGCAAATTAAAATAAATACCTAATCCTTCAATGCACAGACATCATCCCATGTCAACAAGCATCAAGAACATACAGGGAAATAGGAAACCAACATAAAATAGTACCAAAGACCAACGCTAAAGTGATTAAGATGTGTGATCTCTCAGACAAAGAATTCAAGATAGATGTTTTAAGGAAGCTCATTGAACTTCAAGAAAAATCAGAGAATCAATTGTGAAACTTATCACAGAATTTGACAGAGACATTGAAATAATTTTAAAAACCAAACAGAAATCCTGGAGGTGAAAAATGCAATGAATGAAATGAAGAATGAAATAGAGAATATCAACAGCCAGATTAATCAGCGCCTATTTGAAAATACACAAAAAAGGAGAAAAAATAAAAAGAATGAAGACTGCTTACAGAATCTATGGGACAATATGAAAAGAGCAAGTATCTGGGTTATTGTAGTTAAAGAGGGAACTGAGATAGAAAAAGGGGTAGACAACTTATTTCATTATTTCAAAGAAACAATAAAAAAGCTTTCCAAACCTGAAGAAATATATAGATATTCAGGTGCAGGAAAGTTAAAAATCACCAATCAGATGCAACTCAAATAGCAGTACCCCAAGACATATTATAATCAAACTTACAAAGGTCAAAGACAAAGAAGAGAGGATCCTGAAAGCAGTGATAAAAAGTAAGCAAATAACACAGGGAGATCCAATATACTTGGCAGCAGACTTCTCAGGAGAAACCTTATAGGCCAGGGTGGAGTGAGATAATAT